>NC_000003.12:196876563-197027563 GCF_000001405.40 Homo sapiens | reverse complement strand
AGGACCCGCTGCTCAGAGGGCGCCAGCAAAGAAAGGCACCTGAGAGGCTTCCCTTCCACAAGGCCCCTGCCAAGGGGGCCCAGATGGTGGCGGCCCCTCAGTGGCCGCAGGCGGTTACTTGCTCATCTTGCCATGGGGCTCTCCAGAATGGGGCTTGTGTGGTTTCTGGGGAAGGAGGAGCAGGGGCTGGACTCCCAGGTGGGTGAGCATGGGGTAGGAGAGCAGGTCTGCTGAGAACTGCTAAATGACACTGACAATCCTCCGAGGCACCACCAGAGAGTGGCGTCCCTCCTGGGTGGGTGCAAAGAAAGCTGGCTTTTCATTCCAGCTCTGCCCCCCATATGCCCCCAAGACCTAATCCAATCACAGGCCCACACTGGGGCCAAGGCTGTGGGTCAGGCTCCATGTGAGGGCAGAAACCCCAAGCACAGACCACCTTAGAGAAAAAAAGCTAGAAAACCTAGGGTAGCAGTAGAGGCGCAGGGTGGAGGGACAGAAAGCGAGGGAGACTCACTTGTCACTGCGCACCGTTTTCTGCTATCTGATTTTTTTACTATGATATCTGAGTCCTGCAAAATCAATGATTAGTATTTTTTTTTTAACATTATTAGGAAAACAAGGTGAATCCCTGGCCTGGGAAAGGGGGAGAGCCCTGGGCTCTGGTTGGGCTCCTGGGACAGATGAGAAGGACAGCACAGCCCTCTGGGGCTTGGGGTGGGGCCCCAGGCCATCTGGTAGGTGTCCCGAGTTCTTTGCTGAGCAGGCCAGCTGGGCCAGGCTTGGCTGAGCCACATTTCCTTGCAGGCCCAGGAGGCTGACGCCATCACTCTGGATGGAGGAGCCATCTATGAGGCGGGAAAGGAGCACGGCCTGAAGCCGGTGGTGGGCGAAGTGTACGATCAAGGTAAGAGGGTGCAGTGGGAGGAGAGAGGACAGCCTGCGCTGGAAGTCAGCTCTCCAGGCTGCCCTTGCTGGGCCTGGCCTGAGCTGGCCATCAGCCCTGTCCACAGAGCAGTCCTGGAGTCCCAGCCAGAAGAACGCCCTAAGGCTCTCTCAAATTCCCCAGGGACAGGAGCTCCAGGGACACAGAGAGCTGCCCCAAGTCTGCTCTTGCCCGCAGGGAGCCCAGCAGCCCCCTAGCCTGTGCCCACTCAGCTCTTACTGCGGGCTGTCCCGGGCCTGGCGTGGTGCCGGGCACGGTGCTGTGTGCGTAACTGCCTTGGGTGAGCAAGGCGTCCTTAATGCCGAGCCACCTGCACTCTCAGGGCCTCCCTTCAGAAGCCCGGCTCCGGGTAGGGAGGTGCTGTCTGGCAGCGGCACAGCTCAGCAGACCCAGCCCTTCCCCTTCCCATGACTTCTGTGACCTTGGCCAACCTCCACTTCCCAGACTGTATAATGGGGATAGTAACACCTGCGCTGTCACCCAGACTAAATGAGCCAGGCCGTGTGCCCACCTGACATGTGGTATGTGCTGGAAAGTGTGAGTTCCTTTGCCCAGTCCCCGCATCACACATGGGACCTGCCTCCAGCTCAGCCAGCTCCTGTGTCTCCCCCGCCACCTCTGCTTGGCCGGTGCCTGGCCTCCATCACAGTCCAGCGCAACTGTCACCTCCTCCAAGGTGCTCCCTGAGCCCCTCCCTCTCTGGAGCAGGGCCTCTCTTGCCCGCACCCACATGGCCTCTGCAAGCCTCTGCCTGCTCAGTCTCGTTAGTCCTCAGAGGAGGGTCCAGTCTTCCCCTGTGTCTACCCTCTGGAACTCCACACAGCATCTCGCTTGGAGAAAGCACTGGCTGGTTCCTTGTTGAATTAATGGCCATCAAATGACACACGGCACAGTCCAACCCTGCACACCCATCAGCCAGAAACAGCTCTGCCTCCGAGGCCCCACGCACCTCTTCCTCTTTAATTAACTCGACACCTCTACTGAGCACCTGCTACCCGCTGGTCATAAGCATGCAGCAGTAAACGAAGAGACCTTCCTGCCCCCACAGAGCAGAGAGTAAATAAACACACCCAAAACAATACAGTGACACATGTTGGGGTGCTGTGAGGAAAAGGGAAGGGCAGGACAGAGAAAACGAGGGTTGCGGGGAAATCCACTGAAATAGAGCAGGCAGGACGGTGCTCTGCAGAGGTGATGGGTAAGCTGAGCCCCGCAACCATCTCAGGCGGTCCAGAGGATTGGTAAGAAACAAGGCGGGTGAGTCAGAGGATGGTACCAGACGGAGCTACTCAGGTTGGCGGGGGCCAGACCCTGGTGTGCAAGAAGTAACACTGGCTTTATGTTCTAGAACTCAACTTCATTCTGATATGGCCTCCCACACCACCGGGCAGTTTGTGCACGCGTGCATGCCTGCGTGTGTGCGCCCGTGCGATGGGAGACCCTCTGGGCATCAGTTCCCACAGCTGAGTCTGTGTTTTGCCTGAGCAGCCCCTTGGAGCCACCTTGGCACAGGGGAACGCTTTGCAAGGCTGCAGAGCCCTGGCCCCACCACACACACCCTGCAGCATTCAGGGTCGTGAGCGACTTGGGGCCACATCGCTAGTTCTCTCTGTCTCTGCCTCTGTCTCACTCTCCTTCAACCCCCTCAGCACCAGGAAATCGCCGCTCCTCATCTGGGGAAGCCCCTCCTCGGCTCCCCTGCTCCTCCCAGACACCCTTCTTCCCATGACCCTGACACCATTCCCCCAAACCCTCCAAGTTCTCCTAGGGGCCTAGGCTCTTGGAAAGCAAGGACTTGCTGGCTTCTGCTTTCTGTCCAGCTAAATAACTCCCCTGATGTGAGCAAATGTGGACCCAGCTAAGCACCAGCTGCTGGGGAAGGAAGAGGGGGAAATCAATGAATACATCAATATCTCAGGATCGTCTCTACCTCAAGAGGCTAGAGGGCAGGGCCTCTTAATACATGCAGATGAAGCCCACTTGCTCTCTTGGTAACGAGAACGCTATGCACACATCCGTGTGTACAGCCGTGCTCCGTGCACACACCTCTCCCACAGCCCGCCCAGGCAGGGTGCTGGTGCAGCCTCTCTCGAGGCCTCTCCCTGCTGCCCTCACCCACTCCCCTCCCCTCCTAGAGGTCGGTACCTCCTATTACGCCGTGGCTGTGGTCAGGAGGAGCTCCCATGTGACCATTGACACCCTGAAAGGCGTGAAGTCCTGCCACACGGGCATCAATCGCACAGTGGGCTGGAACGTGCCCGTGGGCTACCTGGTGGAGAGCGGCCGCCTCTCGGTGATGGGCTGCGATGTACTCAAAGGTGAGGGCTTTGGGCTGGGCAGGAGGGTCCCCAGGCCTCCCCCTCCTTTCCTTGGCCCATGCTCGTCCCTTCACTGGGTAGCCTCCCTCCGGCCTCGCCACCATTCTTCATTCCTGGAAGGCGCAGCAGCCCCCGCCCGCCCCGTGCCTCCCCCGCCTCCACTCTGCCGCCGGCGCCGCCGCTTGACTTCCTGCTTGCTTGGACCCTGTGGGGCGCGATTCTTGCTCACGCATCGTGGTGTCCCACATGGCACAGCCAGGCACAGGCCCAGCCCATGAGTGGGAAGCAGTGAATCTCCCAGGAGTGCTTCCCACCAGTATAGACCGGGCGCAGGTCACTGTGTCTAGAAATGTGTCCTCGGCTTTACAGGACCAGAAATGCTATTTTTTCAGGACCCAAACGAGGTGCCGACTTGCACCCAGAAAGCTCCCAAGTGGCTCATCAGCCCAACCAGCCGTGTAAACCCGCGAGAGCCTGGAAGCCTCACCCTCTCAGCTGGTGGCCAGGTGTGAGTGGCTCACCAGGCACTTGGCATATTTATTAAATATCTACTCCTCTGGGAGGTCACAAAAAAAAAACCAGGAAGAGGGCTTACTCTGGAAAAGCTCAGTCTGGCTGGCGATGAGCGTGGCCCGACTGGCTCAGGTGCCAGCAGCAGGGCCTCCTCGCGCGGCACAGGATAAATACTTGTGGGTTTTGGTGCTGGCAGGGCCGGAAGAACCATGCAGGGCGGCAGACCCTGACCTCGTCCCCCGTGAGGCTGGCCGCCGGGCGTGTGCCTCCCTCCCTGTGCCGTGAGAAGGGTTGTCTACCCATCAGTGATCTTCAATAATTCTTTATTTCCCCTCTGTCATCAGTCACAGTTGGCTGAGCTGGAAATGAAACCCACAGTGAGAAGAGCATCTGGCTGATACTGAGTTATCCCACGTGGTCATTTAGGAGGAAATGTTTAGTTCCCCCGAACCATTTTTAAATGACAGTCGCTCCCAGTGCTGTCTGCTGCCTTGGTGGACCCGGTTTGGGGGTCACTGATCGGGTCCACTCCCCAGCTTTGCTCAGACTGAAGCTGGAAGGTGGAACCATTCTCAGCAGAGTCCAGATGAGAGCCCGGGCCCCCTGCTGACCCTGGGGGCTTGGCTTGGCTCTGAAGAAAGTTCTGCTGAGTGACCTCTCTACCTCCTTCCCACAGCTGTCAGCGACTATTTTGGGGGCAGCTGCGTCCCGGGGGCAGGAGAGACCAGTTACTCTGAGTCCCTCTGTCGCCTCTGCAGGGGTGACAGCTCTGGGGAAGGGGTGTGTGACAAGAGCCCCCTGGAGAGATACTACGACTACAGCGGGGCCTTCCGGTGAGCGGAGTGGGGGCAGGGAGGGGCCGAGGGCAGGGAGGAGCTGAGGCCACAAATGCTGGGGAAAAACACCTTTGCCCAGAGAGGGCCGTGGAGGGGGAAGTGGCATGTTGGCTGCGTCTCATCAAAGCACCCTTTATATAGTTCTGTGCCCTGGTTAGTTTAAAAACATCCAGCTGGAATATGCCAAACCGGATTTGCTCATGAAATCAACGTGTTTGGTATATTTAGTGAGGTGAGGGCTCCAAGAGAAGAAAATGGAAAAAACAGCCTTTTGGCCACTCCCATGTCCCCATTCTCAGACCAGCAGGGAGCGGGGTCAGGGGAGTGTGTCTGGACACCTGGGGCCGGCCCGTCTCTGCTGCTGGTTGCGGCTGGCACCTTGGGTAACCCTTCCGTGGATGCAGGAGACTCTAACAGCTCGTGGTCCAATTCCATCTGCCTGCAGAGGAGGAAATGTGCTCAGCAGGATTGGAAAGGAAGCTTCTCGGGCCCCTCTAGCTACCTCACGTTTCCACCTGGAGCAGGGAAGCCTGCTGGTGCCCCACACTCCAGATGTTATCTGACTGGATGCGGTTTTCGGCTTAGAGAGAAGAAACAGTCCTCAGCACCCCTGAGCGGGACAGCCTTGCCCCTCCACTCCCCGTGTCCTTGGCCATGCACACATTCTCTCTGGCTCTCTTGGAGCCTCAGAGCCCTCTCCTGATGTCGCCCGCCCCGATCTGCTCTAATCCCTGTGCATTTTCTGCCCGTGGGGACCCAAGCAGACCCTTTGCCCAGGAGGTCTGACCTGCCTCCAACACTGGGCAGTGACATCAGCAGATCGTGTAAAAGTCAATGGTCCCTTCCACTGAGGATTCTGCGGCATGGCATGAAAAGGCCTTCTAGTCCAATCCCCTGCCTCAGGGTAGAATGCTCTTCAAAACACCCTGAAAATTAGCCCAGCATGGTGGCACACACCTGTCACCCCAGCTACTTTGGAGGCAGAGGCAGGATGATCACTTGAGCCCAAGAGGTCAAAGCTGCCATGAGCTATGATTGCGCCACTGCACTCCAGCCTGGGCGACACAGTGAGACCCTATCTCTAAAAACAAAACAACGAAAACAAACACACAGAAAACCGACGCCCTGAGAGTCAAGGCTGCTGATATTATAATAGCAGCTGCCCTGGGAGTGCCTGCTCCCTACAGGCCTGAGCTAAGATGGAGAGGGTCCATACTGGATTATAAGGAGCCTCTCATCCTCAGAGCAGCCCTGTGGGAGCTACTTTCCCACCCCCGCTTTACAGATGATAGGGGCTAGGAAGGGGCCACAACTCGGCAAAGGCACACAGCCGACCAGCCAGGGAGCTGGAACCCAGACCACACAACTGGAAAGCCCATGCCCATCATGGCCACCCCTACAGCCCAAGCCAGGCCTCCAGAGGTGGAAGATGGGCAGGGGCAGGGGCTCAGCCCATCCAGACCCACAGCTTCTCCTCCGCAGGTGCCTGGCGGAAGGGGCAGGGGACGTGGCTTTTGTGAAGCACAGCACGGTACTGGAGAACACGGATGGTGAGTGGGGGAGGGGCACGGGCCCAGAGGAGCAGGGAGTCAGGCCAGGCCGGCTTGGGGCAGGGACCCTAGATGGCAGAGTTGGGATCAAACGCCCTAGTGCAGTGCTGCTCTGAGTCTCTGGGTGACCTTGGACAAGTCCCACAGTCTCCGAGCCTCAGCACTCCCAGCTGCAAAAGAGCAGAGGCAGGTGTCACCAGTGGAGTGCCCACTGCCCACAGGGCAGGAGAAGGGGGCCAGCGAGCAGCTCTGCTCTGCTTTGATTTGAATATGGCATTGGGTTCTGGTTCCACCTGAAGATGAGGGTCTGATTTTTTAAGCAATTTGCAAACCCCTGCACTGGATCTCACCTACCAGCCCTTCCTGGCATTTTTCTCCTCTTGCCTGGAGAATTTGTCCCTCATCCCTGGGAAGGTTTAAGATATAGTTTGGTGTTGAGGCTGGGCACGGTGGCTCATGCCTGTAATCCCAGCACTTTGGGAGGCCGAGGTGGGCGGATCACGAGGTCAGGAGAAGAGACCATCCTGGCCAACATGGTGAAATCCTATCTCTGCTAAAATACAAAAAACTAGCCGAGCGTGGTGGTGGGTGCCTCAAATCCCAGCTACTTGGGAGGCTGAGGCAGGGGAATTGCTTGAACCCAGGAGGCAGAGATTGCAGTGAGCCGAGATCACACCACTGCACTCCAGCCTGGTGACAGAGCGAGACTCTGTCTAAAAAACAACAACAAAAAAAAAACCCACAAAGACTGGTGTTATATATTGAGCCATCATGTCATTTAAGTTTTTTAATTTTGAAAGAACTGAGCTTTGGAAAACTTACAAGAATAACTCAAAGAGCTCCCTTCTATTCTTCACCCAAATTCTAACTGTTTAGCATTTTCCCACATTTTATTGTGTGTGTGTGTGTGTGTGCGTGTGTGTTCTGACCCATTTGAGAGTACATTTGCCTATGTCATACCCCTTGAATACTTTGGTATGTATCTCCTAAGACAAGGAGGTGTGTACCTAGCCACAGTAATCCAAATCAGGACACGCAACTTTGATACAATCCTGTTATCCAGTCTATAGCCGATATTGCAGATTCACTCACCGTCCCAATTCTGTCCTTCATGCCCATTTCTTGCAGACCAGGACCTAAACTCTTACCACGCATGGGGTTTAGTTGTTAGATCTCTTTACTTTCCTTTATCTTGGAACAGTTTCTCAGTCTTTGTTTTTATGACATTGGCATTTTGAAGCATCAGGCCGGTTATTTTATAGAATGTCCCTCAATTTAGATTTGCCTGAAGATTGTTTCTTTTTTTAAATTGAGATATAATTTACATGCAGCAAAATTTGTTCTTTTTGAAGGATAGTTCTATGAGTTTTGCCAAATACATGCAGTTGTATAACCACCACCACAATCGAGATCTTGATGGGGCAGACCCTTCAGCCCAGGAGTTCCTCAGGCCCCTGCTAGTTATCTCCCCGCACCTGCCAGCAAGCAGCAAACACACCGTTCTGTCTGCAGTTTTGCGTCTCCCAGGACGTCTGATGATTGGGTTTTTTTTTTAAATCATTGTCATTCTTTGCTGTTATTAACCATTGCCTTTTAAATCAGAAAGTCCATCACGAAGGCAAACATGGACCAGATCTGAGGAGGAAGAAGGCGAGTGCCCTGCACACGAGGAAGCACGTAGGACGATGCGCTCTAGTGCTGGGCAAGCCTGGAAATGGGCTCCCGTTCACAGGCCCCAGGACGAGTCTGACAAAGGAGAATTTGGAAAACGGGCAAAGAGTAGGGATATGTTGGGTTAAGAATCAGCTCTTTCAAACTTGGGGTTTTTTTTGAGATGGGGGTCTCACCATGTTGCCCAGGCTGGTCTCAAACCCCCAGCCTCAACTGATCCTCGCATCTCAGCCTCCTGAGTAGCTGGGATGACAGGCGTGCACCTGGCAGCTTTTTCAAAGTGTTGATGGTAATCTGAGGCAATCTAAGGGAGTCATTTTTTAAGTGACTTTATACAGAAAGATTGGTAAGAGCCAAGGGGTAGAAGTGGCATAAATGTCTAAAGCAGGGAAGTGACAGGACTTTCATTGTTCTTGGCTGAGGAGAAGCGGGAGTGGCTGATGGAAGCACCTAAATGATGCCTTTGTCTGTGGGAAGGCAAATGATGCCCCAGAGCTCTAACCAAAGGTTTTGCAGCCGCCGAAAAACAGGAAAGTTGGGAAGCGGGGGTAGGACTACACTGAATCATTAACAGTGCTGTAAACTACCATGTGGCCATTAACAATGACCTTTAGGGAGTTTTCCTAAACGATCACTCTGGTGCGGGTGTTTGGTTTTGTTTTAAAATAGCTTTGCAGTGAAAGCTTTCATGACCATACAAATTATCTTTTTTCTTCCTATTTCCTTGTAGAGGTTTTTTTCCTCCTTGTCTTAAGGTCATAAAAATATTGTTATGTGGGACCATCTGTGGTTTAATTATAGTCCTTAATATTCGTCTTCTCAATATCCCTGTTTGGTGTTAATAGTTACTCTTGCAAATTTTCTTTTCTATCGAGAAACAAATGAACTTATGGAAAGTTTCCAATACTGTGGAAAAATACTCTACCAAATAGGATGCAAAATTGCCTGTCAACTATGTCCTTAACCAGGTTAAAAGCGGT
This sequence comes from Homo sapiens, assembly GCF_000001405.40. Classification (NCBI taxonomy): domain Eukaryota; kingdom Metazoa; phylum Chordata; class Mammalia; order Primates; family Hominidae; genus Homo; species Homo sapiens. Next base: position 197,018,752 of record NC_000003.12, on the reverse strand, counting down.
CAAAAGGAGGCTGGGCACGGTGCCTCACGCCTGTAATCCCAGCACTTTGGGAGGCCGAGGCTGGCAGATCATGAGGTCAGGGGTTCAAGACCGGCCTGGCCAACATGGTGAAACCCCATCTCTAGGAAAAATACAAAAATTAGCCAGGCATCTTGGTGCACACCTGTAATCTGAGCTACTCGGGAGGCTGAGGCAGAAGAATAACTTGAACCTGGGAGGCGGAGGTTGCAGTGAGCCAAGATCATGCCACTGCACTCCAGCCTGAGCGACAGAGTAAGACTCCATCTCAAAAAGAGAAAAAAGGCCAGGTGTGGAGGCTCACGCCTGTAATCCCAGCACTTTGGGAGGCCGAGGTGGGTGGATCACGAGGTCAGGAGATCAAGACCATCCTGGCTAACACAGTAAAACCCCATCTCTAATAAAAAAAAATACAAAAAATTAGCCGGGCGTGGTGGCGGGCACCTGTGGTCCCAGCTACTCGGGAGGCTGAGGCAGGAGAATGGCGTGAACCCGGAAGGTGGAGGTTGCAGTGAGCCGAGATCGTGCCACTGCACTCCAGCCTGGGCGAAAGGGCCAGACTCCGTCTCAAAAAGAAAAAGGGGGGGTGAGGTCAAAAGACAGGAAATAAAATAGAAAAAAGGACTTGAAAGAAATCCATCGCAATATGAATAGTTGGAGTTATGGGAGATCCCCCGTCCTCTCTAGTCCTGGGGTGGGTAGATTCCTTCGGGGTTTGTTTCCACCGTGGCCCCTGCTCCGGGAGCCCTGCCCCCTGCCCCCTGCTCAGAGCCAAACGCAGTGCCTCATGGCAGCCGCAAGCTCATCCTAGACTCTTGGTACATTCATCTGTCTCACCCAAAGCCTTTCTTTTTTTTTGAGACAGAGTTTCGCTCTGTCGCCCAGGCTGGAGTGCAGTGGCGTGATCTCGGCTCACTGCAAGCTCCGCCTCCCAGGTTCACACCATTCTCCTGCCTCAGCCTCCCCAGTAGCTGGGATTACAGGCGCCCGCCACCACGCCCAGCTAATTTTTTGTATTTTTAGTAGAGATGGGGTTTCACCGTGTTAGCCAGGATGGTCTTGATCTCCTGACCTCGTGATCCGCCCACCTCGGCCTCCCAAAGTGCTGGGATTACAGGCGTGAGCCACCACGCCCGGCCAGCCTTTCTTATTTTCTTACTTTTTTTATCTTGAATAGTTATTTATAAGTATTGTATTACTGTCAGATACCTCCAATTCACTTTAGCAATAGAAATTGGTGAGAGCTAGAAAATGAGAGTAACGAGATAGAGTCTGTGTAGGTACCTGGAGTTGGGTGCGGCCACCAAGCTCTGCCACCTTCTGAATGCTGGGTTCTCATGTCCATGACACCCAGCCACCCCTCAGATTCCCTCTCCTGGGCCTTCCCCGCCACCCGCCCCAACCCCTTTCGGAGCTGGCTCAGCCCAGGCTTCCTGCTTCCCAGGGAAGACGCTTCCCTCCTGGGGCCAGGCCCTGCTGTCACAGGACTTCGAGCTGCTGTGCCGGGATGGTAGCCGGGCCGATGTCACCGAGTGGAGGCAGTGCCATCTGGCCCGGGTGCCTGCTCACGCCGTGGTGGTCCGGGCCGACACAGATGGGGGCCTCATCTTCCGGCTGCTCAACGAAGGCCAGGTGGGCTCAGGGTCCCCCAACCACCTGCACAGCTTCCTAGATGGTGCCGGGCCTTGTGGTCGCTCAGCAGGGTGGGACCAGGAGGGGCAGGACCCAGAGACTGTCCTTGGGACGGACCCCAGCATCGGGCCAGGTCAGAGTGAGGAACCGACTATGCTGGCTGGCCAGAAGGAGGGCTGGCCAGGAGAGGGGGGCCCAGAGGAGGGGGACCCAGGGATTCAGGCACCCTCAGAAGAAGCTCCTGAGACTTGTGTCTCTGAGAGCTAAAACCAAAACATATGAGCAAATAAACCAAGTAACAAAACCAGCGCCTTTCAAAGCACACCATTAATTACATGTGGCGAATAAGGTTTGGCTAAAACCGCCGCTTGTGACAGCAATAGACTTCTGACTGCTGGTGCCCCAGGCTCAGTTAGTTTTGCCCTATCCAGGCTGCTACCACCAGCCCCACGGCGTGTCCTCAGGACCGTCCCATGCCTGGCCACAGCCATGTGTCCAAACAGCTGAGTGTGAGGAGGCCAAATGAACTCAGAGTAGACCCAGAACTGACAGGGCCCAGGGGAAGGAGGCCGCAGATCAGGGGAGGCGCCGCAGAAGAGGGAGGCCTCACCTGGCCCTCAGGGTGGGTGCCTGGTCTGAGGTCGGGGAAGAAGGAGGTAGGGGCCAAAGTGGGAGGGAAGGATATGGCCTGTCAGCACCCTCACCACCCTGTACCACACCCCTTGACACACAGCGTCTGTTCAGCCACGAGGGCAGCAGCTTCCAGATGTTCAGCTCTGAGGCCTATGGCCAGAAGGATCTACTCTTCAAAGACTCTACCTCGGAGCTTGTGCCCATCGCCACACAGACCTATGAGGCGTGGCTGGGCCATGAGTACCTGCACGCCATGAAGGGTCTGCTCTGTGACCCCAACCGTAAGTCCACCTGTCCCCACTGCTGCCAGCTCCAGCCCAGCTCAACCTCGGGCATGGCGAGGCTCTCTGGGAAAGTGGCCGGGGGAAGACGCTCACCAGGGAGGCCTCTGCGGGAACCTGTCATTTCCATTCCTCTGCCCCTGGGGCTTTGGGGAGGAGGCATCTCTTCCACTGTATGGCCTGTTGTACCTCGGAAGCCCCACCTGGCCGCAGCGGGGGAGGATGCAGACCATCAGAATCTGTCTTGGGAAGGGTCTCCTCGCCCCCCCATCCACGGCCATGGCATCCTGTCAGCTCTTCTACAGCCTCTCGCTCCTACTCCCCGCCTCTACCCCATGGCTACAGCCCTGGCGCAGGTGCCATCTTTCGCCTGGACTATTGCAGTAGTCTACAAGTGAGCTTCTTGCCTTTAGCCCCCTGGCCCCATGTATCTTCCACCTCCAGCCAGGGAAGTGGGTACCACACACTGAGTTACATGCACGCCAGCCATGGTCTTCCTCAGGCCTCACAGTTGCCCCTTTTCTGTGTGAGGAAGTGGGATCCGATGGTTAAATAACTTATCCCAGCCACACACCTGACAGGAGAAAGGCCCAGAATTTCCCTTGGGTCCGACTCCATGCTCTTCCATGGCAGTACTGGCCTGGCAGTGACCGCTTGCTTGCCCCACCCCAGGGCTGCCCCCCTACCTGCGCTGGTGTGTGCTCTCCACTCCCGAGATCCAGAAGTGTGGAGACATGGCCGTGGCCTTCCGCCGGCAGCGGCTCAAGCCAGAGATCCAGTGCGTGTCAGCCAAGTCCCCCCAACACTGCATGGAGCGGATCCAGGTGGGAGTCACGCAGGTGCAGCGTGGGCCAGGTGGGCGGGTGGTGGCAGTGCCTGGGCAGTTCTTACTACCCACACCCCCTGCTGCCTGGGGAAGAGGAGAGTGTCTACTGCAACAAGCCCACAGAGACGGGTGGGGAGGAGCGACCGCAGGGGCCAGCACCCACCCCAGGGGACAGAGACAGGCGGGGAGGAGCGACCGCAGGGGCCAGCACCCACCCCAGGGGACAGGCAGATAGGGGTGAGTCCCCTGGAGAGCCTGGGAGCTCCTCACTAAGTGGGGGTGCCAGGAGCAGAAGAAGCGCTGGCCCAGCTGGGCACTGACGCCCTGTAGCCTGGGGCAAGCCCCTTCCCCTTTCTGAATCTCAGCCTTCCCTTGTGCAATAGAGAGTGGGCGTGGATCATTGTTCGACTTTTTTTTTCTTTTTTCCTGATTTTTCTAAATAGACAAATAATAATTGTGCATATTCATGAGATACATACTGATGTTTTGATACATAGAATACATGGTGATCAGAGCAGGATAATAATTAACATACCATCATCTCAAACATTGCTCATTTCTCCGTGTGGAGAACATGCAATATCGTCCTACCTGTTTGAAACTATGTATTATTGTTAACTCTAGTCATCCTACAGTCTATAGAACACTGGAGCTTATTCCTCCTATCTCTCCTGGCTGGGTGCATTGGCTCACACCTATAATCCCAGCACTTTGGGAGGCCAAGGTGGGTGGATCACTTGAGGTTAGGAGTTCAAGACCAGCCTGGCCAACATGGTGAAACTCTGTTTCTACTAAAAGTACAAAAAAATTAGCCGAGCATGGTGGCACACAGTTGTAATCCCAACTACTTGGGAGGCTGAGGCAGGAGAATCGCTTGGACCCGGGAGGTGGAGGTTGCAGGGAGCCGAGATCACACCATTGCACTCCAGCCTGGGCGACAAGAGAGAGACTGTCTCAAAAAAAAAAAAAAAAAAAAAAACTCTCCCTATTCCTCCCTTCCCCTACCCTTCCCAGTCTGCAGCATCCTCTGTTCTACTTTTTACTTCTGTGAGATCAACTTTTTTTAGCTTCCACATATGAGTGGAACATATGGTGTTTAACTTGCTGTGCCTGGCTTATTTCACATAACACGGTGTCCCCCAGTTCCGTCCGTGTTGCTGCCAGTGACAGGATTTCATTCTTTTTTATGGCTAAATAGTATTCCACGGTGCATGCCAATGACATTTTCTCTATCCATCCTCTGTTGTTGGACACCTGGGTTGATTCCACATCCTGGCTATTGTGGCCAGTGCTGCGATAAACATGGGGTGCGGGCATCCCTTCCACAGGCTGATTGCCTTTCCTTTGGACAGATTCCCAGTGGTGGGATTACTGGACCATATGGTATTCAATAGTTCGATTTGTAGTTTGTGGAGGGACTTCCGTACTGTTTTCCATAGCGGCTGTCCGGGTTTACATCCCCAGCAACGGTGTGTAAGAGTTTCCTTTATTCTGCATCCTCACTAGCATTTGTTATTTTTTATCTTTTTGATAACAGCCACCCTAACTGGGGTGAGCTGATACCTCACTGTGGCTTTGATTTGCATTTCCCTGATGATCAGTGATGGCTGCTGGCATTTTGTATGTCTTCTTTTGAGAAACGTCTGTTCTGATCATTTGCCCGTTTTTAAGTTGGATGGTTTTCTGCTGTTGAGATGTTTCCGTTGCATGTGTATTCTGGATATTAATCCCCTGTTGGATGAGTAGTTTGCAAATATTTTCTCTCATTCCATAGGCTGTCTTCATTTCACTCTGTTCGTTGTTTTCTCTGCTGTGCAGAAACTTGTTTGTTTGATACAATTCCCTTTGCTTATTATTGCTTTTGTTGCCTATGCTTTCGAGGTCTTTTCATAAAATCTTTTCTCAGACCAATGTCCTGAAGCGTTTTGCCTATATTCTCTTCAGCAATTTTATTGTCTTGGGCCCTGCATTTAGGCCTCTCATCCATTTTGAGTTGGTCCCTGTGCTGGGTGAGGGGTAGTTTAGGGCCCCGTTCATTCTGCACTTGGACATTCAGCTTCTTCCCAGCAGCGTCCACTGAAGAAGAGATCACTCTTTTCCCAAAGAGGTTCTTGAAACCTTTGTCAAAAATCAGCTGGCTGTAAAACTGCGGGTTAATTTCTGGGTTCTCTATTCTGGATCATTGGTCTATATGTCCGTTTCTATGCCTCTATCTTTGTTCTTTTTGCTTAGGATTGCTTTGGCTATTCAGGGTCCCTTGTGGTTCCATACAAAGTTTAGGATTGTTCTTTCTAATTCTGTAAAGAATGTCATTGGAATTTTCATAGGGAAGTTCAGCATTGCTGACAGCACCGAGCACTCAGAATACATTTTGCATTGATCACAATCTAGTGAACGGAAACTTTTCTTTCAGATAGAAATTTAAAAATGTATGTCCTTTATATACAGAGATATGACACAAATGGTACCCACTATTTTCTAATGTATTCTATTCTAATCCTTTTTTTCCTGACACTTGTCATGACCCACTCGATTTGGCCCCCATGAATAGGCTCACCATCCGCAGCTAGAAACACTGGCCTGATCTCTAGTGCCTGTTCAGCTCTTTCCTGGTTCTCTTCTCTGCCTGGAGACTAACGCCAGATGCAGAGGGGGCCCCCGTGGCCCTGCAGTCAGGGAGGACTGCTGTGGTCACGGGTGTCCAGCCTCGGCCCAGAGCCCCGGCTGTCAGCCCTTGGGTGTTCACACTCCCCAGTTTTTGTTTTCAGAGCAAGTAGGTGGGGCCTGCTCAGGGGGTCCCCAAGCACAGGCCCCTCAGCAGTGCCAACTCTGCCCAGGCCAGGGAACCACATCGACTGGAAGGCCACAAAGAGGAGACCGGGCAAGAATACAGGGTGACCAGGCTTACGACGATGACCATCGCGCAAGCTGACACTCCCCGTATGCCCCACACAGTGAGGGCCATTGTGTGGATCATCTCGTGTAACCCTCACAACAGCCCTGGCGGTGGCTGTGACCATCAGCCCCACTTCTGGGTCTGGAACCGGGGAGAGAGAGGCTGGGGAAGTAACTTGCCCAAAGTCACCAGCCGGGATGTGCTGTATGAGCCTCCCCACACCGCGTTGCCTGAGCCAGGCCACAGCCCTGTCTTCACACTTCTGGATCTCAGGAGTGGAGACCACCCCAGCCTCAGGCCAAGGAGTGCCCAGGCCCGAGGCGGGGGTGTTCCGGGAGCTTCCGCAGGCCCGATAGAAGCCTGTCCTTGTGCAGAGCTGAGCGCGACTGTGTGTGACGGTGACAGAGGAACCTCCACCGGAACTGCGGAAAGGGCTCGTTGGGAGGGTCTTTATTTCCTAATGCCTGGCAGGCTGCCCTATTGTTCCAAGAGCCCCAGAGCAGGGAGAGGTGCAGGGAGGGAGGTTTCAGCTCCCTCTGAGTGACAGCCTCCTCTCAATCTGGGCTCACAGAGGGCCACGGGGCTGCCCTGGGGCCTGCAGGAAGAGGAGAGACTTCAGGGGCTCCTCAGAACCCCAGCAAAGGGCTCAAAGACCCTCAGTTCTAGCTTCTGAGGTTCTCAGAGAGGAGTCCAGTGTGGCTGTAACACCCATTCCTGCCCTGCCAGTTACCCAGGGAAGGGACCATCAGCCAGAAGCGCCCTGGGCTGTGGTGCAGGGTCTGTGTCCTGCCCGACAGCACAATAGGAAGGGGGAGGTCTGAGTGGTGGAAAAAGGGCCCCGAGCTGTGCACCCTCCTGGCCCCAAATATCAACGCCGCTGCCTGTTATTAACCGCCATCACTTCATGCCTCTTCAGGAATGGCGTGGGACACCTTCCTGGGGCACAGGTGTCCGCACTCTCCCCCACTGTCACACTGTCATCCCCTTCCCTTGAGGTTAATCACACTACTATGGCTCTGTTACCAGTTAGCCCCTTGGCGGGGTCCTGGGACCACCTGTCAATAGGCTTCCGAATGGACAAGCGGGGTGGGTGCAGGTGACCTGGAGGCCCCAGGAGGGTCCTGGGAAGAAGGCACTGGACCCTCCCGCGCCTCCGCAGGCAGAGCTCCATCCCTCAGCCCTGAAGCCTCCTCCCCAGGCCCTGAGACTGCCATCGTTTCAGATCCGGTCATTCTTCCATCTGTACACGCATTTAACAGACAGGCATTGCAGCACACGCTGTGCTGGCCCTTGGCCAGGTGCTGGAGAGGCGGTGCCCGGCTGTCTGGGGGCTGGCAGGGCACAGGGAGGCCCACGCCAAGCATGAGGGTAGGGATCGCGCTTGCTTTGCTCAGAGCAGGGACACAGGGGACCCTGGGTGGCCACGCGCAGGAGTGCTGCGTGGGTGTTTCTGCCCCTTGGTCCTCCAGGCACCACTCCTGGCCAGGCGTCTTCACAAGGAGAGGAAGGGACAGACTGCCAGGATGGGGTACTCCCCACCCACATTCCCCAGGGGAAGGAAGCCTGAGGCCACAAACCCCAAGAGACCAGGCCCTGCCACCTCCACAGGACCCCGACATCCAGAGCCATCCTGGGCCCACCCCGGCCCAGTGGCTTCTTCTATTCCCTTCAGGCTGAGCAGGTCGACGCTGTGACCCTGAGTGGCGAGGACATTTACACGGCGGGGAAGACGTACGGCCTGGTTCCCGCAGCCGGGGAGCACTATGCCCGTGAGTGCAGGGCCTGCCGCCTGGCCTCAGCCGGGAGGTGGGGATATTTTTATAAATATAAAAGAGTGCCCCCCTCAGCCATTTTCAAAAGCTCCATGCCTCTCTCCTGGGGATAGTGGCTGCCTGTCACCAGGCCTGCCCCTCCTGCCCCAGGCCTCAGTTTCCCCAACTATTCAACAAACGTCTCTAAGGGGCTGGCAAACTTTCTGTGAAGGACTAGAGGATAAATACATGAGGCTTTGCAGACGACAGACAGTCTCTCTTTCAATAACCTTTTCAAAATATAAAAACCATTCTTAGCTTACAACCCAGGCCATACAAGAGCAGGCCTCGTAGTTTGCCATCTTGGACTACTGGGGCCTCCTCAGCCTCTTCTGGCCCTAAGCAGCCATGGAAAGTGGCCCTTCAGAGTCCCCCTGGCAGCTCATTTGCACCTTCTCAGGGGCCTGGGCTGGGGCTTTGGCCTCTGTCCTCTTACTGGTGACCTCAGAGGCCTGGGTCCCTTCCACCTGGGTGTGAGCAATCTCTGGGCTGTAGGAAAATGCTTCTGCAGCCTCAGCTGCGCCTCCACTTTCCTCCTGGGTAGTGAGAAAAATACCACCTGGGTTTAAGGAAAGAAAGAAGCCCCTGTGGGGAAGGACTGCTGGGGCCAGAGGAAGACAAGGCTGGAAAGTGGAGGCAAGAGGCTGCTTCTCACAGGGGACGCAGGCAGGGGCCCCCGCTGGGCCTGCTCCCAGAACACCCTGGCCTCAGGCCTGGGTACTCTTTGGCCTGCATAGCTCAGGCAAAGAGACAGGAAGGAGTGGGTTTGAAGGAAGGACCCCCCCAGGCACTTGCCCGGGCTCTCAGATGAGGGGCCCCTCACGTGAGTCCCTCTCTCCCCAGCGGAAGACAGCAGCAACTCGTACTACGTGGTGGCCGTGGTGAGACGGGACAGCTCCCACGCCTTCACCTTGGATGAGCTTCGGGGCAAGCGCTCCTGCCACGCCGGTTTCGGCAGCCCTGCAGGCTGGGATGTCCCCGTGGGTGCCCTTATTCAGAGAGGCTTCATCCGGCCCAAGGACTGTGACGTCCTCACAGGTACCCCCCCCTTTTTAGGAACGCAGACTGGGGAAGCCTTCTCTGGGGTTAGCTAGGGACCCGCAGCCTGTTGGGGAGAGGACCTTGTTGGAAGGTGGCCAGGCTTCTGCATATGTGCCCAGGTATCTCCATAAGCTGGGGACAGAAGGACCCACCATATGCTATACATGAAGCCCCTCCAGTGTGTTAGATCACACAATATTCATGGAAACTGGCAAGACCCTTGGGCTGACAGGCCACACACCTCTGTCCTGGCTGTTAACTCAGAAAACATACAAGCACTTTTTTTTCTAACCACTGACACAAGCACACAGAGGGCACTAGGGTTGGCAGCTCCCACTCCCAGACAGCTGGACACCTGCTCTGATTGGAACAAAATAGTGAGGTAGTGAGATCCCTGTCCCTGAGGGAGTTCAAGTGAAGGCTGGGTGATGTTTGGTGATGGAGATGCTGTATCTAGACAACCTCTGCATTCCCCGCACTGAGATCCTCCAGGAGACACTCCACTCAGAGCTGAGGGGAGCGGAGCAGACAGGTGGCCTTGCAGTGTAGGATCCGGGGGGTGGGCAGACCTGTGGGGGAGCGGCCCGCCCAGCTCCCTCCCACACTTTCCACTGCTGGCCCCTCATCATTGCCCTTCCCTCCACCCCAGCAGTGAGCGAGTTCTTCAATGCCAGCTGCGTGCCCGTGAACAACCCCAAGAACTACCCCTCCTCGCTGTGTGCACTGTGCGTGGGGGACGAGCAGGGCCGCAACAAGTGTGTGGGCAACAGCCAGGAGCGGTATTACGGCTACCGCGGCGCCTTCAGGTACCCGGGTGGCCTGGCAGTCTGGGGCTGTGTGCAGAGGCTGGGACCCTCCTGCCGACGCCTGCCCTGCCCTCTGTGTGGCAGGTGCCTGGTGGAGAATGCGGGTGACGTTGCCTTCGTCAGGCACACAACCGTCTTTGACAACACAAACGGTAGGTGGGGGCAAGAGCAGGGCCAAAGGTAGGTCGGGGGGACTGTTCCCCATCTTCAGCACCATCCAGACACCATGCTGGGCTGGGGCCAAGCAGCAGCTCAGAGAGGCTGAGTCTAGAAGGCTGTGCCCCCTGGGAAGCTGGGAGCCCCAAGGGTCACAGGGTAAGAACAGACCTCAGACCACACATCCAGGGGTGCTGGATACATGACGGTTTTTACTGGCCTGGAATTCAAGTCCCTAATCCACCGAAACGGTAGAAACTCAATCCCAGTCAATCTGGAAAGACCCCCTTCTGGGAGTATTGATGTAGTGCCAAGGTGTGAGGTGGGAGTGGCATGAGCCTCTCCACAGGGTCATGAGTTCAATCAGTATCTGGTCTGTGTTCCTGAGCAGGTCACTGCCTCATGCAAGGAAATCTCTCTGCAGCCCCCAAGCCACACCGAGGCAGGGCACGCCCAACATACCACACAGGGGGTTTTCTTCCTGGAGTCACCTTCCTGGGCTCCGCCTGGGACAAAGAGCTCAGGAACGCTCTGCTCCGGGACCCCAGTACATACATGGTCCTATCAGAGCACACGCTCCCCTGACTTATATCACTTCCCCTTCTTCTTGTTCTCCGTGAAGGAATCTGTGTCCGTTTTGAAGACTAGAGGCTGTTTTCCTCCAACACCAAAGGCTTGTACTGTCTGCATACCCTGCCTACACCCCAGGCTTTGAAACCCCAAATGCTGGAGGCCCAGTCTTCTCCACTCGCTCCCAACATGTCTCCTCCTATAGACTTAGCCCAGAAAGGCACAACTGTGGCCCGGTGGGGAGGGGACTGGACAATGGGAAGCAAGACGTGCAGGGAAAAAAACGAAAACCTCAGTTAGTGTTTCAAAACTTGGATCTTGCCTCCTATGGGGGTCACCAAGGCGGTAGGACCATTTGCCCCAGCAGAGCTAGGGAGGGCTCCAGGCCCTGAACCCTTCCTGTTGCCACAGCCCAGCTCCCCCACCCAGCCTCCTACCAAGAACACCTGAAACCCTCCCCCAGGGAGGGGCTGTGTGCTCCTGCACGAGCCCAGCGGGCCTGCCTGGTCCCAGATCTGTGCATGGTGTCGTCTGGGATGGGGTCAGGGGAGGCGGGCAGGTGCTGGAGAGGCCTTGGGAGGTTCACTTGCAGTGAGTCACCCGCCTCCCAGGGCCACTCCTTTCCCTTTTATCTTTAGCTCTCCTCAAGGCCCACCTGGATTTCCTGGAAATGGGAGGAGGATGGATACTAAGTGAATGCACAGAGACATGAAAATGTGATTCCTGAGGGCAGCATTTTCTCAGGCAGCCCGAGACCGCCTGCTTTAGAATCAGTGGGATGCTGGTTTAACATGCAGATTCTTGAGCCTGATCTGAGACCTCCTGAATAAGATTCTTTGCAAGCAAGGGCCCTTGAAGCTGCCTTCTGCATCCACAAGTGATGCTATACCCTGTTCCATTTGAGAACTTCAGCCCTTAGGGACAATCACCCACCACCTTCAGGGAGCCACCCCACACTCAGGCTTGAGGATGTAACACATAGATGGGGTTCTCTGCCTGGGAGTGATTAACAGCCTCAGTTTCCTCACCTGTAAAATGGGGACAAAAACACCTACCCTGCGTTACTGTTGTGGGGATCAAGCAACGCGTGTAAAGTACTTGTCACATAGTAGGTACTCCCTACTCCCTGCTAATTAATGGCAGCTCCTGCTAATGGCATGAACACAGCTGGGTTCTTTCACCCCGGTAACACAGCAGAGCACGTGGAGAATGGAGAGGGTTGGGGAGCTGGCCAGATGTTGCCACCTCCCTGTGGTGAAGGCCTTGGGGTCCCAGGATAGCAGCTTCTCTTTACACTTCTCTCCACTCCCGGAACGTCCCCACACACACTGCTTTACCCCCCTCAGGCCACAATTCCGAGCCCTGGGCTGCTGAGCTCAGGTCAGAGGACTATGAACTGCTGTGCCCCAACGGGGCCCGAGCCGAGGTGTCCCAGTTTGCAGCCTGCAACCTGGCACAGATACCACCCCACGCCGTGATGGTCCGGCCCGACACCAACATCTTCACCGTGTATGGACTGCTGGACAAGGCCCAGGTGAGCCAGGGTGGGGCTACCTCATTGAGGGGTGTGCAGCAGAGGTAAGCTGAGCCCCTGGGAGGCCTCAGTCTACCTGGAGCAGACCTCTAGAGAAATTGAGGAAGCCCGGGGGAAATTCTGTGATTTTCACTTACGCAAGGACATCCCTCCAGAAACTGTCCCCTCTGCCTCCTGCATCGTTGATTTTCCCTTCTCAGTCGGACCATTTTCACCAACATGAAACATGCTGTGACTTCTGCCATCCTTAAAGAACAAACTAACCTCTTGGTCTCACATCCATCCTCTTGCAGCTGTAATCCTGCTCCCTTTTTTTCTTTTTTTTTTGAGACGGAGTCTTACTCTGTCGCCCCAGGCTGGAGTGCAGTGGCACTATCTCGGCTCACTGCAAGCTCCGCCTCCCGGGTTCACGCCATTCTCCCACCTCAGCCTCCTGAGTAGCTGGGACTACAGGCACCCGCCACCATGCCTGGCTAATTTTTTCTATTTTTTAGTAGAGAAGGGGTTTCACCGTGTTAGCCAGGATGGTCTCGATCTCCTGACCTCGTGATCCGCCCACCTCGGCCTCCCAAAGTGCTGGGATTACAGGCATGAGCCACTGTGCCCGGCCAATCCTGCTCCCTTTCGAAGCAAAACTCCTCCAAAGAGTGGTCTGCTCTGGAGTTAACAAGTCCTCTCCTCTGGCCTCTCTTAAGGATGGAGACTGAGTTAGCAAGTCCTCTCCTCTGGCCCCTCTTAAGGATGGAGACTACCCCAGACAGGCTCCCACCAGGGCCCTGAAGCTGTTCTTGTCAAGGTCACAGTGACCCATGTTGCTAAACCCAGTGGCCATTTCTCAGTCTTCATTTTACTTGACCTCTCAGTGGCACTGGCCACAGCTCTCCCTCCTCCTGGAAACACCTTCCCCTGCAGATGCCCAGGTCCTCAGCCCTGCCTGGCTGTCCTCTCACTCTCTGGCCACTCCTCAGTCTTCTCTGCTGATTTCCTCCCCATCTCCCTGACCTGTTAGCCCTAGGATTCAGTTCTCAGCCCTCTTCCCTGTCTACAGCTTACCCTTGATCTCATCCAATCCCATGTCATCAAATACCATCTATATACAGATGGCTTCTAAATTTACATCTTCAGACATCAGTCCCAAACTTGCATATTTAACTACATACTTGACATTTTGACTTGTGTTTCTAACAGTCATCTCAAATGGATCAAGTCCAAAGTTGGACCCCCGTCCCTCCTTCAGTCTTCCCCACTTCAATTAAGAGCAACTTTAGCTTTTCCATTTCCTCGGGAGTCATTTTTGACTCCGGTCTTCCTCTCGTGCTCTACAGCCAATCTATCAGCAGATCCCATTGGTTGTGCTTTCAAAATATACCTAGAATTTAAACCCAGGTTGTCTCACAATGGAGCCACTGGTTTCTAACCACTCCCCCTCCCCCGACTTATGCTGAAATTGCCTTCTCCACACCCACCAGCACCACAGAACTGCAGAGCTGGCTGGCTCGCCAGGCCTGTTCCTAAACTTTGACATTGTGAACTGACGCATGTTCCTTCCTGTCATCTTCCCCACAGAACCCCTCTATCCCAGGAGTGCTTTACTCTGGGTCCCTGGGCTTCCCTAGGGGGTTGCTAAGTCCTCTGAAGTAATGTGGGAGAAGAATCCTGGGTGGATGTGCATTTTTCTGGGGAGAAGGCTGACAGCTTTCATCAGATCTTCAGGAGGATCTGCGAGTCCCTCCAAAAAGACTGAGAGCCACCTGACTCCTTCGTTCCTCCTTGATCAGTACTTAACACTTTACATAGACATTCATGCATGTTCTCCAGATGTCCTTTATTTATATTCGTATTCATAAGTTCTCATACTACTTCTGGTCTTTTTAGTAGCTCTTTTAGGGCTGTAGCCACAGAACGGTCATTCTAGTGATTCTGAGCAGGGTGGAGAGGAGTGCAGCATCCCTGGGCGGGTGGGTCAGTGAAGACACGCCCAGCTCACCTGATATTCTGTGACTGGTTGCAGAACACAAGTCCCTCTCGAAATTGTTTAGGTTTGTGGGGAGATATCTGTAAGACAGAGTGAGAAAGCCTTATGGAAAAGGCCAAGAAGTGCTCAGCAGGCCTAGCAGAACGCTCAGGAATCCCACCCACACCATCCCTCATTTCTGGGTCTTTCTTCCTGGACATCTCAGGCCTCAGACCTGCATCCAGGAGCTGGAGCACCGCAGTGCTTCTGAACGCCTCTTCCAGTGGCACCTGCGGGCCTAGTGTCCCCACACCCGCTTGGGTGACAGAGGCCAATCAGTTGTCAAGCTTATGACTTCCAATCAGAGTGGTGGGGCCCTGAAATGACTTGCTCTTTGGGTCACTGTATGTAAAGCAATTTGCAGCTAGCGGCACTGGGCGGGTGACCCTGCCTGAGCCCAGTGAGGAGCAGGTCGTCTGCCTGCGGTGCTTCCAGGACCTGTTTGGAGACGACCACAATAAGAACGGGTTCAAAATGTTCGACTCCTCCAACTATCATGGCCAAGACCTGCTTTTCAAGGATGCCACCGTCCGGGCGGTGCCTGTCGGAGAGAAAACCACCTACCGCGGCTGGCTGGGGCTGGACTACGTGGCGGCGCTGGAAGGGATGTCGTCTCAGCAGTGCTCGGGCGCAGGTAGGACAGGCCCGCCCTGCCGCCTCCCCTGGTGCTATTCAGACCCCTTCACCCCAGAACCCTGAGGGAGCGGGGGGCGCTGCGGGTCCGGGGAGGCGGGTGGAGGCCCGTTCGCAGCAGTCCAGGTGGGGTGTCCCGGGAGGATTTTGGCCAGGAGGCTGCGGGCCGGGAGGGCGGGAGCCCGGCGGGTCTCCCAGACGGACCTGGGTAATGAGTGTGAACGCTCAAAACGGCGGCGCGGGGAGGATCTGGGGCCACGGCAGAGACATGCGTGTGCTGCCTTTCTGGAAAGAGCGCATCTGGAAGGGCAGCAGGGGAAAGGAGCACAAAGAGGGAGGCTGCGGCGAGTTCGGTCCCGAAAGATGCCCCCACCCCCACCCCAGAGCGGGCGCCTGAGGCGGCCACCGCGGCCCGGGCTTCGGGGCCTGACCCGCCGCGTTCGTCCCCAGCGGCCCCGGCGCCCGGGGCGCCCCTGCTCCCGCTGCTGCTGCCCGCCCTCGCCGCCCGCCTGCTCCCGCCCGCCCTCTGAGCCCGGCCGCCCCGCCCCAGAGCTCCGATGCCCGCCCGGGGAGTTTCCGCGGCGGCTTCGCGCTGGAATCCAGAAGGAAGCTCGCGAAGGCCGGGCCCGGCGTGGGCGGGAGCAGGCGCCTCCCCGGGAGCCCCGCCGCCCACGGGCGCCACCTGGCGCTGCTACCTGAGGCGCCGCCCCCGGGCCCGCGCGGCCCTTCCCGCCAACCGCCGCCTCCCGCCACCTGGAGCCGCGCGGGCCGCGCCGGAGGAGGCCGGTTGCCCAGGAAACCGCTGAGTCCGGGCTTCCCGCCGCCCGCCCCGCGGTGTCGCCCGAGGGGCCCGCCCGCCTCCTCCCCGCAGCCCCGCGCCCCCGTCCGCGAGGCCCCCTGGGGACGCGGTGGCCGCCGAGGCGCCTACACCCGCAGGCCGCGGCCAGGCCGTCCCAGGAGGCCCCGGCGCCAACGGGACCCGGCGCGTGGGACAGCGGCCTCTGCTGGCGGCGGCGGGAGGGAGGCCGGACCGGGGCGACGGGGAGAAGCCTTCGCCCGCGGGACCGTGTCCGGGGTGGGGGCTCCAGTTCCTCCGACCGCCCGTGCGCTGGGAGGGAGGCCGAGCCCGGGGAACGCCGCGTGCCCTGCCTCGTCCCCCACTGTGGCCGCGCCAGCTCCATCCCGGGCCAGCCGCGTCCACGGGCCCCCTCCCGAGTCTCCTCAGGCTCTCGCCTCCCCTACCCCCGTGGGATGCCCACCGCCCGCACCCACGCCCGAGCCTGGCGGCAGCAGCCGCCCCCCGCCTGAAGGGAGCCGGAGGTGACCCAGGCCGCGGGCTCCCGAGGCCCCTGAAGGGCTGCGCGTGGGGACCCGCCATGCTTCTGGGTTCCGAACGGGGGTGAGCTCCGTCTCCTCACCCGGCCCCGCACCCGCTGGGCCTGGGGACCCCTCACTCCCCGTGCCCGCCCCTCCGCGAGGCAGCAGAAAGCGCCCGGCCGGGGCCTCTCTCTACTCCATCTTGCCACAGTTGTCTGAGAAGCCAGAAAAAGTTTCCAGAACTGGCAGCCCTTAAAAAAAATGAAGAGGAAGAGAAGAAATGGGAGCAGGCAGCCCTCGTCAGCAGACCGGGAGCCGCGTGGGCGCGGAGCCATTTGCATTCCGGTCTGCGGGGGCTCGGGGATGCTGGTGACAGGCCCGGTTCCCGGTGGCTCGCCCCCACCTGCGGGCGTCGGGAAGGATCCCTTCCATCTCTCAGCCGCAGAGGAGGCCCTGGCAGCGCCCCGGCTGTAGCCATGCAACCCCGAGGAGTCCCGGGCACCTTCACCCCACCGGGAGGGGCCACAAGGACCTGGGCCTCGGCCACCAAGCTTTGTCCCCTCTCGCTGTGGGGGGCTAGTGATTCTCCTCCGACCTGACGATTGCTTGGTTTTTTCAAAAGGGAGTTTTGTGCGGTGAGAAGTGTGTTTCTGTGTGGCTAACTCTGGGCTAGCGTGCCGTGGCCATTGAAGGTGTGGCCTGCGTGGGTGCAGTGTAAGTGACGCTGGATTGTCAGGTGGCAGCAGGGGACCCCTGCTGTGTCAGTGCTAATGAAACATGTTGGTTGGTTTCTAAAATAAAGCCAAACAAGCCAGCACATGCAGAGGCTTGGACCCTGATAGAAACTTCTGCTGCCGATTTCTTTCGTTTTGTTAGGCACTCAAAGGCCTACCTGCTCCACCGAGAAGGGCAGATTCCATTCTCCAAGAGCCAGTCAGGGACCACTCTCATCCTCTAGTCAGTGAGGCCCCCCGCGCCCTTCTTCGACCTGGACTGGTTCTCTGGCTCTTGCAGGGCCTCCGCTGCCCTGGCACATTCCAGCTGCCTCCACCCCATCAGGCTCTGGGGTGTCTGCCCTTCTGTGGATGGGTGCAGAGAAGGGTGCAAACTTCTCTGCTGCCCCCTGCCCCACACCTCCAAAATAAGCGGCCCACATCTTTTCTCTGGCAAGCTCGCTGCTAACTCACTGGAGGGGGGCGTGGGGAGCGGATCTCCCAGAGACCCTACAGTGGGTGCTCTGTGGTATCTACTGAGGTGGGGGTGGGCCCGGCTGGTCTTCATCAGTGCTCTGCTCTCCCTCTGGAAGGGGAGGTTTTCTCTGCTTCCCTCTCTCATGGCTTCACTTGGCCCCCACACCACCACCCCTCGCCGCTGTGGCCATCTCCCAGAGCCAGGTCTTGCCCACCACTGCACACAGGCCATTTTCCATGAAGTCGGCTCAGTTATCACAAAGCCAGTCAATTCCTGGGGACCTGGATGGCCAGAGTTGACCGACTTTGTCTCTGCATCACATGGACGAGTCTCAGCTGCACAGTCACTCCAGCTCGCCTCATGCTACCACTTCCCTACCCTGAACTTCTGGAAAGGAAAGTTAACCTTTGGGCACCCTAGCCCCTCATCTGAAAAACACACAGTACGATCACCAGCTTGGTGAGGTGGTTGTGAAGATCCAGTCTAAGATGCAAAACACTCAGCACAGTGCTTGGCACACGGCATAGAGACTAAGACACAAAACACTGCACAGTGCTTGGCACACGGCATAGAGTCTAAGACACAAAACACTCAGCACAGTGCTTGGCACACGGCATAGAGTCTAAGACACAAAACACTCAGCACAGTGCTTGGCACACGGCATAGAGTCTAAGACACAAAACACTCAGCACAGTGCTTGGCACACGGCATAGAGTCTAAGACACAAAACACTCAGCACAGTGCTTGGCACATGGCATAGAGTCTAAGACACAAAACACTCAGCACAGTGCTTGGCACACGGTGGGTGCAGGAAGGATGTTCACTGTCACTACTGCTATTACTCCAGAGCCTGTTTTCTTGTCTTCAATTTGGAATTCCTGGGAGAGATCATCTGATTGGCCCAGTGTGCGTCAGGCATCTACCACTGGACCAGTCAGCACAGGCCAGAAGCAGGGTGTATAGCGGACACATGGCCACCGAGGCCCCAGAAAAAGGAAATGAAATCCTTGTGAGTCAGGCAGCCATGCCCCAGCACCCCCATGGCTACCAGGCCTGTTGTAGGGCTATTGGCCATTTGTTGAGCAAATACTTACTGATACCTACTTGTCAGTACCACCCCTAGACCTAGGCAAGAGGGATTCTAGTCCTCGGTTTTGTGCTTTCAAGCAGTGCTTTTCAGACCTTGATGTGCACATTAACTGCCTGGGGATCTTGTTAAAATGTAGACTCTGGTTCAGAAGGGCCAGCATGAGACTGAGAGTCTGCAGTTCAGACCAGCTCCCAGGTGGTGCCTGTGCTGGTGGTCCAGGGACCACACTTTGAGAAGCAAGCCTTCAGAGGCCTCCCCCAGACCACACCCCACACCCCACCCACAGAGGGAGCAATCACAGGGAAAAGGGATGCGTTCACTCAGGGGTCATCTTTTCTTTTTTTGAAACGGAGTCTTGCTCTGTTGCCCAAGCTGGAGTTCAGTGGCACAATCTTAGCTCACTGCAACCTCCGCCTTCCGGGTTCAAGTGATTCTCCTGCCTCAGCCTCTCAAGTAGCTGGAAATACAAGCGCCCACCACCACACATGGCTACTCTTTGTATTTTTCATAGAGATGGGGTTTCACCATGTTGGCCAGGATGGTCTCGAACTCCTGACCTCGTGATCCGCCCACCTCGGCCTCCCAAAGGCCTCCCAAAGGGATTACAGGCATGAGCCACCGCACCTGGCCCCAGAGCCCATTTTTCACACCATGTTCCAGATACCTGGGATCCTGGACTTTATACCTCAAACAGCCCTGAGCCAGCTTCCAGGGTCTGGAGGGCCCCTTACCTAGATCCTGCCTCCCAAGGTGGCCAAAGCTCTCGCAGGAGGTGTAGTTGAGCGTGATGAGCAGGCTGCCGTGTCCTCTGCAATGCGCAAGGCCCTCGAAGCGTGGGTTGCAGCCTGGATGGGAAGAGAGCGGGTGGGCTATGGCGGGGAAGCCTGTTCTGTCCGCAGCTCCTATTCTAGGCTGCTGAGTCTTTATAAAGGTTTGTTTGTCAAAGTAGGAGGACAGGACACATTCTCTTTAATAGCTTGTTAGCTTGATTTGTAACATTTAATGTGGAGCCACATGGTAGGCGGGCCTCTGTTGGTACTCTTGTCCTAGGCCCCACAAGTGCTTGGGGTCGGCCAGCCTGCTGTGTGCACAGCCCTGTGCTCAGCGCTCTGGAAGGTACAAAGAAGTAAGTACACGGCCTACTAGCCCTGCCCCCCTTGGTCTCATTTGGAGAGGCCACCGAGGTGGTGTGGTAGAAGAACACTGCTGTGCAGGAGGGACAGTGACAGGATAGACAGGGCCTTGTGGCCCACACGGCACAAGCCGTCACCCCCAGCTTCAGACTCCTCCCCAGGTGTTCTTGACTGTTTACAATGAGGATGTGTTCCTCAGGACAACATTCTTGAAAAAGATTCACACAACATTTACAATAGGTATAAATGCTACAATTTTTTAAAAAGATATATTAATTAGGCTGGGTGTGGTGGCTCACCGCTGTCAACCCAGCCCTTTGGGAGGCTGAGGTGGAAGAATCGCTTGAGCCCAGGAATTTAAGACCAGTCTGGGCAACATAGTGAGACCCCATCTCTACAAACAATTTTTAAAAAAATTAGCCCAGTGTGGTGGCCCACACCTGTACCTCCAGCTACTTGGGAGGCTGAGGTGGGAGGATCACTTGTGCCTGGGAGGTGGAGGTTCCGGTGAGCCGTGATGGTGCCACTGCACTCCAGACCAGACCCTGCCTCAAAAAAAAAGATATTCCAATTTTGTGGAATAAAAACCAGCTCACTCACCTAAGATTCAGGAAACTTGAATTCTCATTCCACTTTGGTATTCACCCTGGGCCAATACTTTCTCCTCTCCCCATCTCAGTTCCCAAATCTATAAACTGAGAAGCGGGTATGGGGCCTCGACGATTTCTAGCTCTAACAGTAATTCTTAGACTAAAACACATCTGAGTCTTCACGGGGTTGTTGCCTGTGCTGAAGTGAGAGGGGCCGGGTGGGCTCTTTTTGTTTCTGCCTTTCTCAGCTGCCTCTGCGTTGGTGCTAACAAGCCAGAAGCTGGGTTTCACAGCGGAGAGTCATATACGTCAAAGCTTCTCGCCTTGAGCGTATGTGAGGATCACCTGAGGGTTTATTAAAACATAGACTGCGAAGCTGGGTGCAATGGTGTATGCCTGTAGTCCCAGCTACTTGGAGGTTGAGGCAGGAGGATTGCTTGAGCCCAGGAGTTGAGGCCAGCCTGGGCAACATAGTGAGACTCCCATCTCTAAAAATGTATATATTGGCCAGGCATGGTGGTTCACGCCTGTAATCCCAGAACTTTGGGAAGCTGAGATGTGAGGATTGCTTGAGGCCAGTAGTTCAAGACCAGCCTGGGCAACATAGGCCCAACCTCTACACACACACACACACACACACACAGACACAAAAGTGTTTTTAATTAGCCAGGCGTGGTGGTGTTTGCCTGTGATCCCAGCTACTCGGGAGGCTGACAGGGGAGGATTGGTTGGGCCCAGGAGTTTGAGATTGCAGTGAGCTCTGAGCTATGATTGCACCATTGCACCCCAGCCTGGCAGGTTCTCAGGTGGTCTGATGCTGCCGGTCAAGCCACCTCACTTTGAAGAACACTGTTCAGGGCAATGTGAGCTCACACCCCATGAGCGCATTAACAGGTGCCTGCCCCAAGGTGTCCAGGGCTTGGGTGGGAAGGGTGAGTGGTTCCCCCTAACCAGGGAACTTCATGGAGGAAGTTGGGCCCAGCCTGGAAGACAAGCCAGGTCTGTGTCCGTGGCCCCCGTGGGCTCCATGTGGAGGGGTGGAATGTGCGGGAAGGTGCCTCAGCGCCTGGCCCGGGTCTCCGAGCACGCAGGCTGTCGGTAGAATGGCATTCTGACTTCACCCTTTCCCAGCATGCGGCTCCCCCGTCCCTCTGGCCCTGCACTCCCCACCCTCACAATTCCGAGCAGGGCCCTCGAGAACAGGAGAGAACTCAGAGATCAGCATGTGAAGGTGGTGCGTGGTCGGAATACCCCCCTTCCTCCTTCCTAGCTTCTGATGTCCCTGGAAACCTCCAACTCTACAGAAAAAACAAATGTTATCTGCTCTACTGAAGTCAGTCTTTGGGTCGCTGGAGGTTGAAGAGAAGGGCCTGGTGGTTTACCGGGCAGGGCATCCTTAGCCAAGATCCCCATCCAACAACTTGTGGCAGACTCTGCTGCTGGTCTTCTCCCCTTCTTCCTGTCTAGCAGACTCCAGTTTTGTTCGGGTGGCAGCGTGCCCAAGTACAAATACTCACTCCTGCGTGCCCAGGCAACTCGGTTCTGGCTGAAGAAACCTGAGAAGTTTCAGGGCAGCTGTTTAGGAGGAACAAACAGCTAGCACAGCCCATTGCCCCGGAGCCCGTCTCCCTCTTCCTGCCCGGAAAGTGGACAGGATCGCTGGAAAATGGAGCAAGAAGCACAAGGAAAAGGACCGCATGGTCAGGACAGCAGAGCAAAGAGACAAAAGCGTTCGGCTCAGGTGGCAGCACCCAGGCCTGGAACAGTCTAGACTCCCTGACAGCTGATTCCTGTCTTCTCTTGTTTCAGCTGGCTGCATTCTGAATTGATATAAGTGGTAACAGTGGAAAGAGCCCGAGATGGGCCCTTGGGGCTCCCAGGCTCTTGTCTTGGCTTTGTGTGGCTCAGGGAAAGTCACGGCCGCTCTGTGGGCCCTGTTCCTTCATCTGTGGGGTGACCCAGAAGGCCTCCAGGGTCTCCTTAGGCCCTTCTGTAGCTCAGATTCAAGAACCAGAGCTGGTCCCAGCTGAAAGTTCCCGAGATGGGCATGAGTGGAGGGTTTCAGGGATGGGGCAGGAAGTCACCTTGTGAACAGGTGACACCTGGGGTTGGGGGTCTTCTCAGTGTTCAGCCAAAAGGAACCCTTGAAGCACAGGATTTGAGGGGTCTGCAATATTCAGTCCAGTTGTTGGAAGCATTTTAACATCCCAAAGGGGAATTGTTTCTAAGTATCTCTTTGACTTCGACCTTCGGATTCACATTTGTCCCTGGAAGAAGCCCCAGGGGATCTCTGCAGACCCGTTCCCGGCCCCACACGTTTTGTAAGTTAGGTGGGATGGCCGGTTGGAGCTGCCTCAAGAGAGAAGCCTGAGGCCCTTTTAACTGGTGGCAACCAGGTCATGAGGCAACCTCTGTGATGTGTGGGCCAGCTTAGGCCTGTGTCACGTGGCAGAGCCCTGGTTCTGGGGGCAGAGCCATCCCCTCCAGAGTACAAGGTCTGAGACTGGGGAAGAGGAAAGAGCAGGGTACTGTCAGTAAAGAATGAAACAATAGAAAATAGATGCAGGCTGCCCCAAACCACACCATCCTCCACCCTGGCCCAGCCACAGCCCTATCCTGGTGTGGATTCCTTACAGCACCTGTCGGTTCTGTGAGCTTTCTAGGGAGGCGGGAGGGAGGGGGCCTACTGTCTCAGAGGCAGAATGCACCAAAAGCACTTTTCAAAGGCCATCTGTGGGCAGAGGCACTAACTGGAGACTGCAACAGATGTTTTCATGATCGAGCTAGTGTGAGTCGGCTCAGAACAGTCACCCTCCACAGAGGCACCTGTGAGCCTCCGTTAAAGAGGACGATTGGCCACATTCCACCACGAAGCCTCTGGGATTCTGCCTGCTCCCTCCTTCTCTTCCTGCCCTCTTTGGAAGGCCTCCTCCAGACTCCAAGCCCAGCCTGTGATGGAATCACCGTAGCCCCAGTAAACCAATCTGTGACCGTGGGACACACTGCAGGGGTGGAGAGGAAAGCTTGCCTTTGAAAACAGTAAAATACATTCACCTATGTCTCTTCCCTTGGCAAAAAACTGTGTGTGTGTGTGTGTGTGTGTGTATGTGCATGCACCTGCATGTGTGTGTGCGTGTGTGTCTGCATGTCTGCGTGTCTGCATATATGTGTCTGTGTGCTGTATGTGTGCGCGCATGTGTGTGTGCGCATGTCTGTGTGTGTCTGTGTCTGCGTGTGTCTCTGTGTGTGTATGTGTGTCTCTGTGTCTGTATGTGCGCGTGTGTGCATGTCTGTGTGTGCATGTGTCTGTGTGCGTGTCTATGTGCGTGTGTGTCTGTGTCTGTGTGTCTATGTGCATGTGTGTGCATGTGTGCATGTGCATGTGTGTGCATGTGTGCATGTGCATTTGTGTGTGTGCATGTGCGTCTGTGTACGTGTGTCTGTGTGTGTCTGTGCTTGTGTGTGCACGTGTCTGCGTGTTTGCGCGTGTTTGTGCATGTGTGTCTGTGCATGTCTCTGTGCATGTGTGCGTGTGCGTGCGTGTGCGTGCGTGTCTGTGTGCGTCTGTGTGTCTGTGTGTGCGTGTGCGTGTGTGTCTGTGTGCGTGTCTGTGTGCGTGTGTGTCTGTGTGCGTGTGTGTCTGTGTGCGTGTGCGTGTGTGTCTGTGTGTGCGTGTGTCTGTGTGTGCGTGCGCGTGTGTGTGTCTGTGTTAGGGGCAGGGGAGTTGCAGTTTCACTGCAAGGCATAGTTTTAAGAAAGGGAGGCTGACTACAAATGTGTACACAATGGTGGATACATGTCGTTATGGATACATGAATCCAAATCCACGGAGGGACAACTGTGGGCCCTGAGTGACAACGCTGTGTAAAGGAAGGGCTGTGAATTGTGACACACGCACCACTCTGAAGGATGTAGTGAGAGCTGTGCCTGTGTAGGGGCGGGAGGTAGATGGAAAAATCTCTGTACCTTCTGCCCAACTGGCCTGCTCTTTAAACTGCTCGTAAATATAAAGTAAGTCTGTGTTTTTTTAAAAGGCCTCACCCGGCCAATATATAGGCCACAGTCTGATAATGGAGAAACTACCCCCATCGCCTCCCAACCCCCTTTCTTATTATCCACCCCTGACCAAGTGCATGAGAATTGTCACCCCTATGGTCATCTGGCTGTGGGTCTCTCCCCTTCCAACTGTGAGCTTGACTTCTTCGATCCCACCGTCTCAGTTCCTGTGCTGGGGCCTGCAGAGAAGCAGCGGCACTAGGCCAAGCCTTCCTTCCCACCGGGATGCCCTCGGCCTCCCAGCCGCCTTCGGCCCGAGTTTCTTTAGCCCACTTGCCTCCTGGAGGAAAAGCCGAGCCCCCTGCAGAGCTGCAGGCCGTCCTCAGGCCCCCCAGACTCCAGCAGGAAGCCGAGCAGACTGTCATGGGGACGACTAGTCACGACTTTAGATATGGACTCGGGGCAAGAGCCCCTCTCTGCCTCTCACACAGAACTTCCCGAGGAGAAAGCTGTCTCCTCGTGTGTGTGATTCTGCTGCCCTGGCCCCTTGGGGAGGAGCCCTGGATTTCCTGAAAATGAGGATCTGCCATTGCAATGAGGCAGCACAGTACCCCTGCTTGCTGTAGGGATTGTTCTTGAAGACCAACCTGCTGAAATGGACCTAAGACAGCAGCTGGACAAATGGCCAAGACAGAGGTGTCATCGTGCCCGTGCCTCAGTTTTTTGTAATAAGAGACATACTGGAAACAGCCTAAATGCCCAGTATTAGGTTGGGTAAATGAAACACGGTTCATACCTTCATTCCCAGTGGAATGCAATGGATGATGGTCTACAGCTGTTAAATGAAGGGTGCAGCTACATTTACCGATGTGGAAAGAGTTCCACGGCATATTGTTGAGTAAAAAGAGCAGGTTATGAAACAGTATATAATCCCATTATCATAAAATCTCACATACAAACTCACACGCACACTCACACACACAGAGCTGTCTGGAAATCTGTTCACCAAACTGTTAACGGTGACTAGCTCCAGTTGGTGGAATTTAAGGGGTAATTTTTACTTTCTTTAAACTTTATTTTAGTTTCTTTAACTCTTTGTTTTGAATTTTAAAGCCTTTTAAATATCTAATCAATATCATTTTGGAATGAATAAATAAGCAAGCAAATACAAAGTAAAAGAGCTGGGCACAGTGGCTCACGCCTATAATCCCAGCACTTTGGGAGGCCAAGGCAGGTGGATCATCTGAGGTCAGGAGTTCAAGACCAGCCTGGCCAACATGGCAAAACCCTGTCTCTACTAAGAATACAAAAACTAGCCGGGTGCGGTAGCGGGCACCTATAATCCCAGCTACTCAGGAGGCTGAGGCAGGAGAATCGCTTGAACCCGGGAGGCAGAGGTTGCAGTGAGCCGAGATTGCGCCACCGCACTCCAGCCTGGGCGACTTAGCAAGACTCCATCTCAAAAACAACAACAACAACAAAAAGTAAAAGTAAAACTTCCACTGTCCCAAGCACAGTCCCAATGTCACCTCTCAACTCTGAACAACGCAGGTGGCCTCAATGAGGAGGCTGAGGAGGCTGCGGAAGGAGCTGCAGCTTGGGGCTACTCAGTCCTGGATGTGGACGTGGGGGATGTGGCCCTGTGACCAGCTGTGTGGCCTTCAAGCTGTCGCTTAGCCCTTCAGAGCCTCCACGTCTTCCCTGAGTGCCTGCCTGTGGGCTGGCTGGGAGGGGATGCAGGGAGGCACCCACAGCCCAGAGGCTCCTCAGGGCTCCACAGCCCACAAACGTGTGCCTGAGCAACGTCCTCTCCAGCTTCCCCAACTGCTAATGGTCCTGAGTGCACACTCCTGCCAGGCTGGGGCAGACGCAGGAGGAAGAAAGGGAAGTCTAGGAGACAAGGGCATCCTGAGGAAAGTAGACGAAAATCCAGGCCCAGCTGGGTCAGCGACAGGTGCCCTAGCATCAGAACCTGGGAGGGCTCGGGGGAGGAAGGGGAGGGCCTGAGCCCAGGATGAAACAGGCCGCTTCGGGCAGCGTGGGCCCCAGAAGATCTCCTCCAGCCTCCTCCATCCACTACCCTTCGCTTATTCACACTGTTGGCTCCAGGGCGCTCCCATCCCGCCCAAACCCCTCTCCCTAGTTCTCGGGCTTGTGTAGGATGCTAGAGCTGGAAGGGACCGCGGTGAATCAGCTTGGCCAATCAGCTCGCCTCACCCCCTCACAGTTCAGGAAACCAAAGCGTTTAGGAGACAGGGCTTCCTGCTGATGAGGACGCAGCCATCACAGCTCCGGACTTGAACCCAGGGTCTGGTTCCCGGCTGTGGCGTAACAGGACACAGTGTGCGGGACCAGCCTCCATCAGCACATCCCTCCCACCAGCTCCCCACCCGCTCTCCGCCGGGCGAGTGGGAACAGCTGTGCCACAGCCATGTGCCTGGTCCTGCTTGCCAGCTGGCCGGCAGGGGACGCAGCACCAAGATCCCATTTTAGAGTCTGTTCCTAGGATCCTTCCTGGCACCAACTGTCACAGGTTGGGTTCCCAGGAAAACACTCGAGGACGGAGATTTGTGTGCAGGCTTCTCAGGGAGTGCTCTCACAAACAGTGCCTGCCAGGGGGTAAGAAGCCACGGGACGGGCAGAGAGAGGAGTGAGTGCCATGCAGTAGCCAGGAAGGCCCCGGCTGGTGAACCTTCCGAGTTATCTTGCCTTGAGGCAAGAGGGCCTGGCCTTTCTATCCCTACGGCAGCCCTCATGGACACAGGTTTGGAGATGGGGGCGACCTTGAGCAAGGTGGTTCTCTTCAGCTGAGGGCACCTCCCAGAGAGAAACCCAGCTGGGCCCCACCAAAACCATCAACACTCCCGGAAGCTGCAGGAACCAGAGCCTCTGCCCTGAAGGGGCACTGGCCAGGGCCCCACAGCGGCCACTACAGAGAGGGTGGTGACCTGCCCTGAGATCAGGTCGCCCGTGAATGGTGGCCCTGAATTCACTTCCAGAGCACCAAAGCCCACACCTTAATCCCAGTAAACATATGAATATCTGACACTTAGAGGGTGGGCTTATGTGCACTAGGCCCTGCCTATAAATCTCATTGTTTAACCCTCAAAGCAACATCATGAAGTATCAGTATTCAAGACACAGTTTACAGATGAAGAAACTGAGTCTTGGAGATGATAGGTGATATGTTTGGCTGTGTCCCCACCCAAATCTCATCTTGAATTGTAGTTCCCATAATCCCCACAAGTCATGGGAGGGACCCGGTGGGAGGTGATTGAATCATGAGGGCGGTTCCCCCCGGGCTGCTGTTCTCGTGATGGTGAGTTCTCCTGAGTCTGGTGGTTTTATAAGGAGCTTTCCCCCCTTTTGCTCAGCACTTCTTTCTTCTCCTTCTGCCATGACTGTAAGTTTCCTGAGGCTTCCACAGCTCTGCACAACTGTGAGTCAATTAAACCTATTTTCTTTATAAATTACCCGGTCTCAAGTATGTCTTTATTAGCAACATGAGAACGGGACTAATACAACGGGTAACTTGCCCAAGATCACTCGGCTAATAAGCCAGATTGAAGCCCAGGCAATCCGATACCAGAGCCGCTACATGATCAGGCCACACTGATACACTGGACCTTGCCCGGTAGCTTGTGGATAACATCCATTTCAGGGAGAGAGTGGTGAACTTTGACCTTGGCAGGCTGGTGGTCTGCAGACTGATAGTGGCTCCAAGGAGGCAGAAGCTGCCTGGGATCTTTCCATCCCCGCAGCCTCCCTGCCCTAGTCCCCGTGAGCTCCAGTGCCCAGGGGGGCGCAGCCGGGCCGGAGAAGTCATCCCCCTCAGCCCTGCTCACAGCCCATGTCTGTAGAGCAGCAGGTGCCGATACCAGCCAGGCAGCCTGGGTTTGGCCACACAATCTCTGCAGAGCCCTGGTGCCTTGGTTTACAGAGCTGTAAAACAAGAGATTGTCCCTATTATCATCAAGCTCGTGGCTCCCTCGGGTCTCTCTGAGAGGGGTGCTGGTGAAAAATGATGATGGCACACACAGCAAAATGTGGGTGCTGGCTGTGTCCTGCAGGGTCACCAGGCCCTGCAGAGGTTGACTTGGACAGCCAGCCACCCCACATTCCTTGGGAGAGGCACCTTTCCTCCCACCTGTGAGAGGCTGTCCTGAGAACCAAGATCTTCATTCCTCAAAGGTCTTGAATGCGTGAAAAAGGAGGCTGCCCTAGGGAAAGAGACCAGAGGTCCCCGGGCCATCCTTCAGCCCAGCTTTTCTCTGTCACACTCCATGAAGAGTCTGTATTTGGGAAGGGCCTGTCTCCCCTCCAGGCTGCCAGCGAGCCCCTTAAGGGCAGGGATAGAGCCTGCCCCTGCCCAGTACATTCCCAGTGCCCAGCCTCACCTGCCGCAGAGCAAACACAGACAGTGTTTGCTGAACGCATGAATGAGATGAGTCGTTAGTTTTGCCTCCTGGAAGTTGGACTGGTCCCGGGGGAGTTCCAGGAATACTGAGGAGCTTGGTCCTCCCTGGCAACTCGTGGTGTGCAGAGCTGATTTTAAAAAGGATCACTGTTGGCATCGGGGCTGGCCAGTATCTGTCCCTGGTCCGGAGGCTGACCCCTGTCCCAGGGGGTGTGTGTTGGTTTGCCAGGGCTGCCGTAACAAGGTGCCACAACCTGAGTGGCTTACGCGGCAAGCGTATCGTCTCACAGTCCCGGAGGCCGGGCGTCTGACACTAAGATGTCAGCAGGGCTGGTTCCTTGGCCTGCAGAAGCACCACCCACACTCAGCCTCTGTCTTCACACGGCACTCTTCGTGCGTCTGTGCCCAAATTCCCCCCTTTCAGGAGGACATCAGTCATACTGGATTAAGGCCCATCCTAATGACCTCATCTTAACTAATGACATCTCAAACAACCCTATTTTCAAATAATGTCCCATTTTGAGGCAGTGGGTGGGGGTTAGAACTTCAACACAGGAATTTGGGAGGGACACCACTCAACCCATAGCAGCTTGTGATTGTTCTGTTGGTCAGGGCTGGGCACAGAACACCCCGTAGGCTCTCTGCCCCCCTCCCCCACAACCCTTGTTCCCTACCCTCACCAGTGCTAATATGAAGATGATGAAGATGATGTCCAGGTGACGTGCCAACCCAGAGAGATCAAACCATCAGGCAGCACTATCCCAGCCCCGAGGCGTGCCCTGACCCTCTGCTTAACTTCCCCTGGTGAAGAGGTGAAGGAGCAGGTATAGATGAGTCTCACCCGCAGCTAGACGGGCTCAGAGTTCTCTCTGGTGCTAGTTTTGGTACACGTGGGAGGGAGAAGAAGCTGGCTTTCCCAATACCAGGCTCTGGGCACCAGGCTTAGTGCCACCGGGGCGTGCTCATGCCCGACCCCACCTCTCTCACTCTACTTTCTCTCCTCCTTTCCTCCCTCTCCAGCTCCAGCTGCTGCTGGTTCCTAGAACCCAGACCACCCATCGGGGGCTGGAAAGGAAGCCAAATGGCCCCAGCATTTCCCAGGAATGTTACATTTTGACAATCAATTACCCACTTTAGGTGTGACCTCCT
The DNA here is from genome assembly GCF_000001405.40 of Homo sapiens. Classification (NCBI taxonomy): domain Eukaryota; kingdom Metazoa; phylum Chordata; class Mammalia; order Primates; family Hominidae; genus Homo; species Homo sapiens. Next base: position 196,989,018 of record NC_000003.12, on the reverse strand, counting down.
CTTCTCCCTCCCAGCTCCCCGCAGGGGAGCTATTAGAATTATCCCCATTCTACAGGACTGGGAAATGAGGCTGTGAGAGTGAGGAACTGAGGAACTTGCTGGGATTTGAACAAAGGCAAAGTCAGCCCCAAAGGGTGGTGGTGGCAAGTCTCCACCAGGCCAGGCTGGGAAGCCTGTGCTGCCACAGGCCTGACTGGACTGCCTGCCTGCAGTCTCCAGGACATTGGAACCAAAGTCCAGGTGCAATTGCCTTTATCGCGTCTGCTGCAGTTCTCCACAATCATCTCAAGGACACCGGCCAGTTGGCCCCCAGGAGCAGGAGGCTGGTCAGCGTTTGTCAGAGCAGGGCTCATCACTGATAACAAAAGTGCTGGCCACGCCAGTGCTGGAGGCAGGCTGGGGACTGTGCTTATCTTTGAGAGGACAGAATTCCACAGCAAAACTTTTCAGCCTGCAGTGGCTGCTCATCTGAGCCTTCATCAGGGTGTGAGGTCCCGTCCTCCTCTTGCTGGGGGTAACCTAGAGCAGAGAGCTGTTCTGCCTAAAGACCTGCCCTGCCATTAGCCCTCCTGGCTGAAGGCTCCTTCGCCCTGCAGCAGAGCATGGGTATGGCTAGGAAGGAGTGACTTGTAGGGAAAAATAGCGCCACCTGCCCCAGATACTAAGGCGTGGAGAATGGTGTAACATACTCCAAACACACGGGCAGGTCCCCATGTGGATGTGACGGATGTGTGTACACAAGGGCAAGCATGTACACCCCTGTTTCCAGGCCTGGCCCCCTGCAGAAAGACGGAGGAGGTGGATCCTGCTCAGCAGAGGACAACAGGATCTGCCCTCACCCAGGAGAGTCTCAGGACTCCAAACGCATGAGGCCTCACTCTATTCCTGTTTCATTTCCATCAGAGGCTAAGAACTTATTAACAGCCAGGCTTCCTTTCTTTCCACTCCAACTTCAGGTTCCTTCTGAGACTTCACAAAGGAGAGGGGTGGGGACTGCTTTGAAATGCATCTGCTTTGCTTAGTCTCTTCTTAGGCAACTTTTAAAAATTGTGATAAAATACACCATTTTCACCATTGTAAGTGTACAGTTCTGTGGCATTGACACTGTTGTGCAGCCATCACCCACCACCCATCTCCAGAACCCTTTTATCCCCAACTGAAACTCTGACCCATTAAACACAAACTCCCCATTTCCCCAGCCCGTCAGCTCCTGGCAACCACCATTCTACTTCCTGCCTTTATGAACTTGATCATTTTAGGCACTTCATATTAAGTGGGATATACATACTGTATTTGTCCTTTAGTGACTGGTTATTCTCCTTGAAACTCAGGCTTCAAGTTTCATCTACGTTGTAGCATGTATCAGAATTTCCTTCCTTTTGCCTTTCCATGCTACCTGCAGAGGGTTCCATCCGGCATTGTTCTGGATTCTCACTGTAATTTAAAGGGAAATTTTCACAGTGTCCGGAGCCCTTGATGTCCTGCAAATGAAGAAAGAGGATGTCCTTAAGTTCCTTGCAGCAGGAACCCAGTTAGGTGGCAGCAATCTTGACTTCCAGGTGGAACAGTATGTCTATAAAAGGAAAAGTGATGGCATCTACATCATAAATCTGACGAGGACCTGGAAGAAGCTTCTGCTGGCAGCTCGTGCCATTGTTGCCATTGAAAACGCTGCTGCTGTCAGTGTTATATCCTCCAGGAATACTGGCCAGAGGGTCGTGCTGAAGTTTGCTGCTGCCACCGGAGCCACTCCAATCGCTGGCCCCTTCACTCCTGGAACCTTCACTAACCAGATCCAGGCAGCCTTCTGGGAGCCACGGCTTCTTGTGGTTACTGACCCCAGGGCTGACCAGCAGCCTCTCAGAACGGAGGCATCTTATGTTAACCTACCCACCATTGCTCTGTAACACAGATTCTCCTCTGTGCTATGTGGACTTTGCCATCCCATGCAACCAGGGAGCTCGCTCAGTGGGTTTGATGTGGTGGATGCTGGCTCGGGAAGCTCTGTGCATGCGTGGCAGCATTTCCCGTGAACACCCCTGGGAGGTCATGCCTGATCTCTACTTCTACAGAGATCCTGAAGAGATTGAAAAAGAGCAGGCTGCTGCTGAAAACACTGTGACCAAGGAGGAATTTCAGGGTGAATGGACTGCTCCAGCTCCTGAGTTCACTGCTACTCAGCCTGAGGTTGCAGACTGGCCTGACGGCGTGCAGGTGCCCTCTGTGCCTATTCAGCAGCTCCCTACTGAAGACTGGAGCACTCAGCCTGCCACGGAAGACTGGTCTGCAGCTCCCACTGCTCAGGCCACTGAAGGGGTAGGAGCAACCACTGAATGGTCCTAAGCTGTTCTCGCACAGGCTCTTACGCAACATGGAAATAAGGTTGATGGAAAATAATCAGTTTCTAAAAAAAAAAAAAAAAAATTCCTTCCTTTTTAAGGCTGTATAATATTCCTATATATAATATATTATATGTAGATATATAATATATAATATGTTGTATAATATATTATTATATATAACATAAATAATATAAAAATAATATTTTATATACTATGTAAATATTTCTACATATTATATTATATATAGGAATATTATACAGGGTTAAAATATTATAGATTATATAAACAGGTAATATATAATATTCCTATGTATATAATATATAGATTTTGTTTATGCATTCATCTGTCAATGGGGACTTGGGTTCCTTCCATCTTTTCAGTGCTGCTATGGGCATGAGTATACACATCTCTGTTTGAGTTCCTGCTTTCAAGTCCTTGTCTATATACTCAGAAGTGGGATTGCTGCATCCTGTGGAAAGTCCATGTTCAATCTGGGGGGAGTCATCATACTGTTTTCCACAGTAGTGGCGCCATTTGACATTCCTACCAACAGGGCACAAGAGTTCCCATTTCTTCACATCCTCACTAACATTTATTTTCTTTTTTATAATAGTCAACCTAATGGGTGTGAAGTGGTATTTCGTTGTGGTTTGGATTTGCATTTCCTTAATGATTAATGACGTTGAGCGTCTTGTCATGTACTTACTGGCCATTTGAATATCTTCTTTGGAGAAATGTCTATCCAAGTTCTTAGGTAACTTTATATTTTTAAAAAACTCCTTGATGCCCTGAAGGTTGTCATTCGGGACTGTTTCTCTCTGAGATTTCCTGTGGCCCATCCCTGTGCTTCGCTTGCTCCCAACACAGATGTTCCTCTGGGAACAGGAGGCAAGATGGGAAAGGGAGCTGGAAAGACAAACATCACCCAGCCTTGGGACCAGCCTGGAGAACTTTGCTCTTGGGGATTTCAAGCTTGTTGCTTGAGAAATCCAGAAACTCAAGCTAAGCTGTGGCCAGTATGCCATGCTTCCCCCAAGACAGAGAGGCCAGCTTTGAGGGGACTTTGTCTGGGCTGGGAGGGCCACTGACACCGCGCTCCTGGCAGGAAGGTGCAGCCCCTGCCTCCAGACCTGTCTTCGGGCCCCAGCTTGTGATTTTCTAGGGAGAAGCTGCTGCCTGCTGGCCACATGACACCTACGGTCACACGCACAGGCCTTTCTGCTGATAGGAAAGATTGTAATCACGTCTGTAACTGGAAGGTGTGTACAGGGCTGGGCTCATCTTCCACCTCAGTTCAGAGTTTATTGCCAGCACCAGCCTCAAGGCCCTTCTCCTGTTTCATTCCTCTTCCCCACTTCATCTCTGGGCCCAATTCCTGTCCCCACCTCCCCCTCACCCCACCACGGCCATCCATTGCAATGCGTCTGATGTGTATCCTTGCATCGTTGTCAAACGCATGTTTGTGTGTGTGTGTGTCTTTAACATACCCTGTCCTGTGCTAATAAATTGCATTCTCTTTCTCACTCTATTGTTCACTTAACACTACGTTTTAAAAACCATTCATACTTTAGTATGTGTTTCTAATTCATAGAGGATTCCATCCTGGCTTCCATATCTGGGAGATAGACAAACAGGTACCACTCTGTGGCCCAGGCTGGCGTGCAGTGGCGCCATCTCGGCTCACTGCAACCTCCGCATCCTGCGCTCAAGCGATTCTCGTGCCTCAGCCTCCTGAGTAGCTGGGATTACAGGCGCCCACCCCCATGCCCAGCTAATTTTTTGTTATTTTTAGTAGAGTCTTGGTTTCTCCATGTTGGCCAGGCTGTTCTCAAACTTCTGACCTCAGGTGATCCACCCGCCTCAGCCTCCCAAAGTGTTGGGATTACAGGCGTGAGCCAACGCGCCCGTCCCCGATCCACCTTTACTCTTAAGGTATGAACTAAATTAATCTAATCATCTATGCCTTCGCTTGCTTTTTCTATTGAACTATCTCTTCCTGAGAAGGTGGCTTCAAGACCTCCAACTACAATTGTTGGGCTGTTTCTTCCTACAGTTCTGCCAGCTGTTGCTTCAGAGTTTTTTCAAGACTATTGTTTTGCATGTGTGTGCGTGTGTGTGTGTTTGTGCATTTTATCATATGCTATATCTCTCTTTGATAATATGATGGTTTTACCTTCAATTATATTTTTTAGCTGTTAATATCACTACTCTTTCTTGGTTCATATTTACCTGCTATATCATTTATCTGTCTGTTTCTTTTCAGTCTTTCTCTATCCTTTTAAGTATATTCCTCACAGTTCTCAGTATCAAGACTAAGAGTTTCTGCCTAGATATTTTCTGCCTTTTTATTTAGCTACTGACATTTTATTTATAGTTATTATTCATACTGTTACTTTAGGACTTATTTGTATCTTATTTTATATATCCTATTTACCATATGTTTTGTTAACTTTTTTCCCTTTCCTTCTGCTGGTTTGAAAGTGTGTTTTAGAACCCTGTGAAATGCACCACTGAAGAGAAGGCTCTTAGGAGTCATGGTGACTGAGAACATCACAGTATCCTGGCTGGGGTCCTGGAACAGAATTGGGCATTCGTGAAAAAACTGGAGAAATCCAAATAAAGACTTCAGTTCAGTTAGTAATGTTATATCAATGTTAATTTCTTAGTTTTGGTAAATATATTGTGGATACATAAGATGTTAACATGAAAGAAATCTGTACTACCCATACTACCTTTACAATTCTCCCACAAATCTAAAGTTATTTCCAAATAAAAATTTTAAGATACATCTATGTTTAAAAAGTACATGTATGCATGTATGTATGAGCAGGCAACAAGAGATTATCAGGAATGAACAGATAGCTTTTAAAAACTTTTGAAATGAAACATACAAATCTTAAAATACCAATTAGGGAATTGGGAGTTAACAAGCTACCAAAGTTGCAACCCTGAAAGACAAATAGAAGAAAAACATAAAGGAAGCACAAGTGAGGATGTGTGTGTGTGAAGATGCACATGTATGTGTAGCCAGGTCCTCAAAAATGTAGAACAGAGAGGATGAGGGAAATAAAATATTCACAGAGATAATGGCCATGACATCTTCAGAACTCGTGAAAAACATATCAGAAGTCTAGGAACAAAAATGCATCCCAAGTAGGATAAGTAAAAATAAATCCTTACCTAGACACATCTCAGTGAAAATGAAAATGCAAAAGACAAAGGTAAGATCTTAAAGACAACCAGAGTGAAAGGGCAAGTCACCCATAAAGGTTAACAGTTAGAAAGACAGCCAACTTCTCAGCAGACACAACAGAAGTCAGAAGATAGTGAATACAGTCTTGCAAATGTTGACAGAAAATAACTGTCAACTTGGAATGATGAACCCTGCAAGACTATCTTTCAAGATTGAGGGTGGCAAAAATGGGGAGTTTGTCATCAAGAAAGTTGAACTAATGAAAGAAAAAAATTGATCTCAGAAGAGCAATCTAAGATACAGGATAAAAAGAATGCTGAGTAAATGGAAATAATGTATATAAATTCTAATATTGTCTTTTAAAATTATTGTAATTGTATTTATAGATATCATCAAATTGCTCTACTCAGAGGCTTTCCAGTTTATAGTCACCAGCAACATAAGAAAGTACCCATTTCCCCATCTCTCTGATAGTGTGATTTTTACTAAACCAAGAGTTGAAAATGGTATTTCAGCTGGGCATGGTGGCTCATGCCTGCAATCCTGGCACTTTGGGAGGCCAAGGTGGGTGGATCGCTTGAGCACAGGAGTTTGAGACCAGCCTGGGCAACATGGCGAAACCCCATCTCCACGAAAAAAAAATTTAAAAAATGGCCAGGCATTGTGGTGTGCACCTGTAGCCCCAGCTACTCCGGAGACTGAGGTAGGAGGATCACTTGAGCCCAGGAGGCCGAGGCTGCAGAGAATCAAGATTGTGCCAGTGCATTCCAGCCTGGGCAACGGAGCAAGATCCTGTTTCTAAAATATATATATATAAATAAAAATTAGCATGTGATATGTCTTTCTATATATTTAAATTATCTTTTGTATCTCTTAGAATTTGAAAGTTTAATTCATAAATATGTTTCAAGTATCTCATTAAGTTTGTTCCAAATTGTTTCATTTTGTGTCATCATTGTTGCTTTTGTTGTTGTTGTTTTTGTAAATGGACTTAAATGAACTTTCTTCCATTAGTTTTTCTATTAATAACTAGTTGTTCTTTACTTATGTAAAGTCTACAGTTTCTGAATATTAATATCAAACTAGACACTTTACAGAATTATTCAGTAAATTTACTGAATTTAATTTTACTGAATTATTGTAACACTTTCTTAATAGATTTTATTTATTTATTTATTTATTTTTATTTTTATTTCGAGATGGAGTCTCGCTCTGCCGCCAGGCTGGAGTGCAGTGGCGCGATCTCGGCCCACTGCAATCTCCGCCTCCCGGGTTCAAGCGATTCTCCTGCCTCAGCCTCCTGAGTAGCTGGGATTACAGGCACCTGCCACCACGCCTGGCTAATTTTTGTATTTTTAGTAAAGACGGGGTTTCACCACGTTGGCCAGGCTGGTTACGAACTCCTGACCTCAAGCAACCCACCCACCTCGGCCTCCCAAAGTGTTGGGATTAGAAGCACGAGCCACCGTGCCCGGCTAGATTTTATTTTTTTAGAGCAACTTTAGGTTCACAGCAAAACTACGTGGAAAGTACAGAGATTTCCCACATGCCCCCAAACCCTCGCCACACATACCACCTCCCCCACCATCCTGCACCAGAGTGGTACATTTGTTACGGCCGATGAACCTATGTTGACACGTCGTTGTCAACCAAAGTCCACAGTTCACGTTAGGGTTTACTCTTGGTGTTGCCCGTTCTATGGGTTGAGACGTGTCCTGACATCTACCACTGTGGTATCATATAGGATAGTTTCACTTCTCTGAAAATCCTGTGGGCCCTACCTATTCATCCTCTCTCCCACAACCCCTGACAACCACTGATCTTTTTAATGTCTCCATAGTTTTGCTTTTTCCAGAATGTCATATAGTTGGAATCACATAGTATATAACCTTTTCAGATGGGCTTTTTTCACTTTAGTAATACGTGTTTAAGATTCCTCTATGTCTTTTCACAGCTTGACAGCTTATTTCTTTTTAGTGCTGAGTAATATTCCACAGTCTGAGTGTACCAGAGTTCATGCATTCACCTGTTGAAGAACAGCTTGGTTGCTACCAAGTTTTGGCAATTATGGTTAAAGTTGCTGTAAACATTCATGTACAGGCTTTCTTTTTTGAGACAGAGTTTCGCTCTGTCACCCAGGCTGGAGTGCAGTGGCGCAATCTCGGCTCACCGCAAGCTCTGCCTCCCAGGTTCACGCCATTCTCCTGCCTCAGCCTCCCAAGTAGCTGGGACTACAGGCGCCTGCCACCACGCCCGGCTAATTTTTTGTATTTTTAGTAGAGATGGGGTTTCACCATGTTAGCCAGGATGGTCTCGATCTCCTGACCTCGTGATCCGCCTGCCTCGGCCTCCCAAAGTGCTGGGATTACAGGCGTGAGCCACCACGCCTGGCCTCATATAAGGCTTTTGTGCAGACCTGAGTTTTCAGTTCATTTGGATAAATATCAAGGAGCTCGACTGCTGGATTGTGTGGTAAGAGCATGTTTAGTTTTCTAAGGAACTGCCAACTCTCTTCCAAACTGGCTGTATACCATTTTGCATTCCCACCAACAATGAATGGCCCTTCCTATTTCTTTTCATCCTCACCAGCATTTGGTGTGTAATTTCTGAATAAAATCCTTTGTGTTTTCCAAGTATACAGTTATTTTGATCTGAAAATAATAATTTTTCCTCCATTCTGATTTCTCTATCTCTATATTCTACCTCTTGTCAAATTATATTGGCTAACACATCCAGAAAAATATTAAGTAATAGCTGTAAAAATGGATAAACCTCTTTTGTTCTTGACTTCAAGTTTGGGAGAACTTTTATTGTGTCCCCATTAAGTATGATGCTGGCTTTTATACTGAGATAAGTATATTGTTTCGTATTAAGAAAATATACCTGTTCCTATTTTATTAAGAGTGTTTACCAAAAATAAACTGTTGAATTTTTCAGTATCTGTGGGGATTATCACATCATTTTTCTCTTTTATATGCTAAATATTAATATGATCAATCACATTGATAGATTTCATAATATTAAACCATTCTTAAATTTCTGGAAGGTAACCTTTTTAGAAAAAAATCTCCTTAGGTCTGGCACGGTGGCTCACACCTGTAATCCCAGCACGAGTCAGGCGTATCACTTGAGGCCAGAAGTTCAAGACCAGCCTGGCCAACGTGGTGAAACCCGTCTCTACTAAAAATACAAAAATTAGTTGGGCGCAGTGGCGCATTCCTGTAATCCCAGCTACTCGGGAGGCTGAGGCAGGAGAATCGCTTAAACCACGGAGGAAGAAGTTGCAGTGAGCCAAGACTGTGCCACTGCACTCCAGCCTGGGCAACAGAGTGAGACTCCGTCTCAAAAAGAAAAGAAAAGAAAAGAAAAGAAAAGGAAATTCCTTAAATTCATAAAAACAACGAAACTTATATGTGCCCTTATCTCTGAAGAGAATGTTAAATAAATGCACAAATAAGAAAAAGCTGCTCATGAAGTGCTCCTGTGTTTTTGGCACCCCAAGTTCCTCCACATACGGAAAACCCTGGGACCTTCTGGCTAGAAAGACACAGGCAAAGAGCCCACGGGGACCTCCCTGCGAACGCAGAGCTTTGCTTAGCTTCAGTTCAGCCCAGGGACTGTCTGAGGACCCGCCTCAGGCCCGGAGCTGTAGGGCTTGGGGCCCCCTCCAGCCTCCAGGTGACTCAACACCACGATTAGACTCACTAGGCAATTCTGGGAATGATCTGAGATCTTTCTAATGTTTCTCAACTTCTTTCACAATGCTGGAGGCCCAAAGCCAGCCCTGCGCTCCTGAGAAAGGAGACACAAGGAGCAGAAGGTCAGGGTCAGCGGGGCATGGCGAGTCTTTTGAGTTTCTTGGGAAATGCTTCCCGGGCTCAGCAAATACAAAATGGGAGCCTTCTGCTTCTACAAATCAAACTCCTGTGATTGCCCCCTCTGACCTCAATTCTTTTTTTTTCTTTTTTTTTTTTTTTGAGACAGAGTCTCACTCTGTCGCCCAGGCTGGAGTGCAATGGTGCAATCTGGGTTCACTGCAACCTCCGCCTCCCGGGTTCAAGCGATTCTCCTGCCTCAGCCTCCCGAGTAGCTGGGACTACACGTGCACGCCATCATGCCCGGCTAATTGTTGAATTTTTGTAGAGACGGGGTTTCACCATGTTGGCCAGGCTGCTCTTGAATTCCTAACCTCAGGTGATCCATCTCCCTCGGCCTCCCAAAGTGCTGGGATGACAGGCGTGAGCCTCCGCACCCAGCCCCTCGATTCTAATGCTCTCTTTCTAGCCCTCTCTTCCCAGCTCGGATGGGCCCTTGGCCCCAGGTCTCCAGTGGCAAGTCCGGGCGGGCTCCGGGGCCATAGACTCAGCCTGGCCTCCCAGATCCCGGGCAGCTTGGGCTGCGCAGAGAATCCAAAAGGCTTCCAAGGAGGTGAGTCCGTGGAATGTGTTCGTGATTCGCTGAGATGAAGCCGAAGGGAAACAGCCCAGGGCAGGGACACCGCAAGCATTAGGTAGAACCACATGACATTGCAGATAATTTGCTGTTTTTGACCTACGACAAACCAGCATTATCATACTGTTCACCCAAACCCCAAGGCCGCCTTTGAGAGCGCGATAATCACAGAACCAATTCTGCGGAGCCACCCAGTGGTCAGAAGAAGAAAACAGGGCTTGATTCTTAAACGATGCTGACGATGATGATGCCGACAGGGACAGGGTAAGTGACGCTTCCGGAGCCTCCATGACGTGCTGGGAATAGAAGTTTCACACAAGTGATTATTTAATGTTACTGTGTTTGTCGCAACAATCAAGTATACTTATATAATACAAACAGCTCTCCTGAGTCAGCAGGTAGGTAATATTATTATTCCCATTTTAGAGGTGAGAAAGATGAGGCTCAGGGGATTCAGCAAGCGGCGCAAAATCACACAGACAAGGGAGGCAGACCCAGGTTTGAGCTCAGAGCCTGGCTCAGAATCATGTTCTTCACATGCAGGTTCCCTTTCCACGTTAGGGAGAAGGTGAGGCTCCCAAGCCAGAGATCCGAACTCTGGGAAGTCCCCAGGCAAGACTGACCTAGGTGCACACACCTGAACTTCTCAGCACTTCACATCACAGCAGAACAGAAGATGAGCCGGGTGTGGTGGCTCACGCCTGTAATCCCAGCACTTTGGGTGGCAAAGACGGGCAGATCGCTAGAGCCCAGGAGTTCCAGACCAGCTTGGGCAACACGGTGAGACCCCATCTCTACAAAAAATACAAAAATTAGCCGGGAGTGGTGGCGCTTGCCTGTAGTCCCAGCTACTCAGAAGGCTGAGGTGGGAGGATAGCTTGAGCCTGGGAGGTCGAGGCTGCAGTGACCTGAGATCGTGCCACTGCACTCTAGCCTGGGTGACACAGCAAGACCCTGTCTCAAAAACAAAAACCAAAACCCAAAGAACAGAGGATGTTAGTGGAACCATTACAGCAGGATATTAAAGTAATAGTTTCAGTCCCGGCACGGCGACTCACGCCTGTAATCCCAGCACTTTGGGAGGCCGAGGCAGGTGGATCACCTGAGGTCAGGAGTTTGAGACCAGCCTGACCAATATGGTGAAACCTTGTCTCTACTAAAAATACAAAAATCAGCCAGACACCAGTTACTTGGGAGGCTGAGACAGGAGACTTGCTTGAACCTGGGAGGCAGAGGTTGCAGTGAGCCAAGATTGTGCCACTGCACTCCAGCCTGGGTGACGGAGTGAGACTCCATCTCAACAATAAATGAATAAATAAATAAAGTAATAGTTTCAAAAACTGCATTAAAGGAAGTTCATTAAAATAAAAAGGAAAACTGTGTGCTACACAGAACATTGATCAAGTAATTAATCGTTGGCTTTGTGAAATTCATTCTGGAAAATTATCTAAAAATTAATCAGTATTTGTATAATTTGGATTCACTGTTTTGATTCAAATCTTCTTGAAAGATAAAAATATCCTTCAAATCCTTTGAATGGCAAAGTCCAAACATTACCATTCCATGCTGCCATGAAACACAGTAGGCGGGGTAGAGGCTGGGAGGAAAAAGGCTGCTTGCCAGTCAGGCTGAGGAAATGGCAAAGCAGGCAGGATGCGTCCTCCCCCAGGGCTCCTAATATGGGCTCTGGGCAGCGGACTCCCCATGAATGCAGAGTCAGAAGGGAGCCACAATGGCCAGTCTCTGCAGATGTCCCATGAGCTGACACCATGGGACTATCGGCACCATCGTGGCCTGAGAGGGTCGGGGCTATATCAGGTGTCTTACCCCCAAGACCTTGAGCTGTGTGGCTTCCCAGAGATCACGGGTCATACGACAGATGCGGAAGCCGAGGCACCTGGAGAGGAATCAGCTGACTTGGGGTTACACATCTAGTGGGTGGCAGAGCCAGGACTGTTACCCAGGCTCTGACTTCCCGTCCAGATCCTTCCAACTCCTCACCGAGGTCAGAAGCGCTGCTGCTCTAACTGACCTGTAACTTGGTGAGTTAGGAAAACCACAGGAAGGCCAGACCAGGACTTCAGCTGTTCCTGAGCCTGGTTCTGCCTGGGAACTTTGTGCCACTCCATGCGGGCCTGGGGCAGAGAAAGAGCGAGACAAAGATGCTTACAGCATGGGCTCTGCACCCATCCTCCAGCTTCCTACAGTGTCTTGGTACCCTTTGGGTGCTCAGTCGTGCTTACCAATGGTGACAATGAGGACAAGGAAGAGGAAAGGTGAGAGGGGACAAAGGAAGGGGAGAGGACTTGATGACAGGGAGAAGCGGGGCTGGACTATTTGAGGGAAGATGACAGTGAGGCTGACCCAGAGAAGGCCTTAGAGTTACTCAATTACATCTCAGACTAAGGAAAGGCTCTTATATTCGGGGCTGTTTCTCATTTTAAGTTTTGTGGGCCGGGCATGGTGGCTCACGCCTGTAATCCCAGCACTTTGGGAGGCCAAGGTGGGCAGGATTACTTGAGGTCAGGAGTTTGAGACCAGCCTGGCCAACATGGTGAAACCCCATCTCCACTAAAAATACAAAAATCAGCCGGGCGTGGTGGTGGGCGCCTGTAATCCCAGCTACTCGGGAGGCTGAGGCAGGAGAGTCGCTTGAACCTGGGAGGCGGAAGTTGCAGTGAGCCGAGATCGCACCACTGCACTCCAGCCTGGGTGACAGAGTGAGACTCTATCTCAAAAAAAACAAAACAAAAAAAAAAGTTTTGTGTATCTATCCTAACTTTTACAATTGTGCACATATATTACTTTGGTTAAAAATGTAAATTAAAGGAGAAAAGACTTCGATCAAACACAAGAACCTAAAGGGTGACAAAGCGTTGCTGTGGCAGCTAGAGAGGTATAGATCCCTGGCAGGCAGGGGCCTGAGGGGAGGCAGATAGCTAGCACCTGCCAGCTGGGCCAGAGAAAAGAAGGGGCCTTTTCCCTTCTTGCCCCAGCAGGGTTCCACAGTAATATTATTTTGTCCCATGGATCAACCACTGTCCTCATCAGAGGCTCTTAACCTTTGTGGGGTCATGGGCCCTGGGAAATCAGAAACCCTATTTGCCCCAGGAAAAACAGTGTACATGTATGCATACCCATAAAACTGTCTGTATAACTCCCTGGGTTTACAAGCTCCTGGTTAACCCCTGCTCCATGTGCTGATGTCCAACCAGACTGTTTTCCCAGTCCACCTTCCCTTCTGAGCTTTAAACCCACACATTCAACTTTCCTCTGCATGGAAATCTCCCAACAGTACCTCAAAGTGTCAAGTAGTTAAAACCAAATTTAAACTCCCCCTAAATCTGCTCCACCCCCTGTGCTCCCTGTGTCGGGACTGGAACTATCACCCACCCATTTGCCAAGTATGAGATCTGCTGTCAACTTGGAGCAGTGGTTCTCAATGCTGGCTGTACATCAGAAGCCACCGTGGAGGCCTGTAAAACACGGAGGCCTGGGCCTCCCTGCTGGCCCTCAGACACAGAGCCTCTGGCAGGAAGTCCAGCATGATCAGTCTGAAAGAAGGCTGAGAACCACTCCCCCAGACAGAACATCTTTCTGTCAGTCTCACTCCAAAACAGTCACCAAGTCCTGTGGCTTCTACCTACTGAATTCCACGGCATTTATTTAGAATAGGTCATTCTCCAGCATGATACGAAAGTCAACTCTTAAAACAAGGTAGACCAAGCATGGTGGCTCATGCCTATAATCCCAGCACTTTGGGAGGCCAAGGCAGGAGGGTTGCTTCAGGCCAAGAGTTTGAGACCAGCCTGGGCAACTTAGTGAGACTCCACCTCTAACTAAAAGAGAAAACAAAAAGAATAATCAGAGGAAATTTCCCTTCCTATCATCACCTCCCAGTTACTGGCCAGCCTGCCTCCATTTTAACCTCCTTCAGTCCTTCCTCCTCAGCCGGAGTCAATGTTCCAAACTGCCAGAGTCTGGCTGTGTTATTTCCCTGCCTAAGCCTCTCGGTGGCCCCTCATCACTCCCAGGAAAAAGTGCATGCTCCTTAGCAAAGCACATGAGGTCCCCGCCCCACCCCAATCTGGGTCCTGCCTACTTCTAGCTCTACGTCTTCCCCACACCCCGCTATACCTACACAATCCACAAAAACACAACTCTAAGCTACCAACAGACCCTCTGCCTGGATTCCTTTGTTGCCCCTCTGGGAAGGCTTCCTGGACTAGACCTGGCTGGATTAATTGGGTGCCCCCTTCTCAAGGCACCCAGAGCACCTCCTGCTTATCTCCAGCACTGGATTAACCACAGGTGATTTTTGACAAAGGTGTCAAGGTAAAGATAGCTTTCTCGACAAATGGTACTAGAAAAGTGGATATCTAGATCTATATCTAAAAATGAGCCTTGGCCGGGCACGGTGGCTCACGCCTGTAATCTCAGCACTTTGGGAGGCCAAGGCCAGTGGATCACTTGAGGCCAGGAGTTCGAGACCAGCCTGGCCAACATGTTGAAACCCTGTCTCTACTAAAAATACAAAAGTTAGCTAGGTGTTGTGGCGGGTGCCTGTAATCCCAGCTACTCAGGAGGCTGAGGCAGGAGAATCACTTGAACCCAGGAGGCGGAGGTTGCAGTGAGCCGAGATCATGCAACTGCACTCCAGCCTGGGCAACAGAGCGAGACTCCATCTTTTTTTTTTTTTTTTTTTTAATTGATCATTCTTGGGTGTTTCTCGCAGAGGGGGATTTGGCAGGGTCACAGGACAATAGTGGAGGGAAGGTCAGCAGATAAACAAGTGAACAAAGGTCTCTGGTTTTCCTAGGCAGAGGGCCCTGCGGCCTTCCGCAGTGTTTGTGTCCCTGGGTACTTGAGATTAGGGAGTGGTGATGACTCTTAACGAGCATGCTGCCTTCAAGCATCTGTTTAACAAAGCACATCTTGCCCCGCCCTTAATCCATTTAACCCTGAGTGGACACAGCACATGTTTCAGAGAGCACAGGGCTGGGGGCAAGGTCATAGATCAACAGCATCCCAAGGCAGAAGAATTTTTCTTAGTACAGAACAAAATGAAAAGTCTCCCATGTCTACCTCTTTCTACACAGACACGGCAACCATCCGATTTCTCAATCTTTTCCCCACCTTTCCCCCTTTTCTATTCCACAAAACCGCCATTGTCATCATGGCCCGTTCTCAATGAGCTGTTGGGCACACCTCCCAGACGGGGCGGCGGGGCGGAGGCGCTCCCCACATCTCAGACGTTGGGCGGCCGGGCAGAGACGCTCCTCACTTCCTAGATGGGATGGCGGCCGGGAAGAGGCGCTCCTCACTTTCCAGACTGGGCAGCCAGGCAGAGGGGCTCCTCACATCCCAGACGATGGGCGGCCAGGCAGAGACGCTCCTCACTTCCCAGACGGGGTGGCGGCCGGGCAGAGGCTGCAATCTCGGCTCTTTGGGAGGCCAAGGCAGGCGGCTGGGAGGTGGAGGTTGTAGTGAGCCGAGATCACGCCACTGCACTCCAGCCTGGGCACCATTGAGCACTGAGTGAACGAGACTCCGTCTGCAATCCCGGCACCTCGGGAGGCCGAGGCTGGCGGATCACTCGCGGTTAGGGGCTGGAGACCAGCCCGGCCAACACAGCGAAACCCCGTCTCCACCAAAAAAATACGAAAACCAGTCAGGCGTGGCGGCGCGCACCTGCAATCGCAGGCACTCGGCAGGCTGAGGCAGGAGAATCAGGCAGCAGTACCGTCCAGCTTCAGCTCGGCATCAGAGGGAGACCGTGGGGAGAGGGAGAGGGCGAGGGCGAGGGCGAGGGCGAGGGCGAGGGAGAGGGAGACAATGAGACTCCATCTTAAATAAATAAATAAATAAATAAATAAATAAGACCCTTGATTCTTACCTCACACCACCCATAAAGTTAGTTTGAGTGTATCATAGACCTAAACAAAAAGCCAAAACTATACAATTCTAGAAGAAAATATAGGAGAAAATATTTGCAACCTTACCTTAAGGTAGGCAATCAAGGAAAATGTTTAATAAATTGGACGCTGTCACAATTAGAAACTTTGGCTCTTTGAAAGATAACATTAGGAAAATGAAAAAACAGGTGGGTGTGGTGGCTCACACCTGTATTCCCAGCATTTTGGGAAGCTGAGGCAGTAGGATCACTTGAGCCCAGGAGTTCAAGACCAGCCTGGGCAACATAGCGAGATCTCATCTCTACTAAAGATAAAAAATTGAAATAAAAATAATTAGCCAGGCATAGTGGCGTGTGCCTATCATCCCAGCTACTCAGAAGGCTGAGGTGGGAGGATCACTTGAGCCCAGGAGTTCGAGATTGCATTTAGCTACAATTATACCACTGCACTGCAGCCTGGGAGACAGCATGAGACCCTGTCTCATGGAAAAAAAGAAAATGAAAAGACAAACCATAGAATGCTATGGGCTCTCATGCATTGCTGGTGGTAATGTCAAATAGTATGACCACTTTGAAAAACAATTTCTTACCATGCTGCCAGGCGCAGTGGCTCAAACCTGTAATCCCAGCACTTTGGGAGGCCAAGGCGGATGGATCACAAGGTTAGGAGTTCAAGACCAGCCTGACCAACATGGTGAAACCCCATCTCTCCCAAAATACAAAAATTAGTTGGGTGTGGTGGCGCAAGCCTGTAATCCCAGCTACTCAGGAGACTGAGGCAGGAGAATCACTTGAACCCAGGAGACGGAGGTTGCAGTGAGCCAAGATTGCACCACTGCACTCCAGCCTGGGCGACAGAGCGAGACTCCATCCCAAAAAAAAAAAAAAAAAAAAAAGTCTGGGTGTGGTGGCTCACGCCTGTAATCGCAGCACTTTGGGAGGCCGAGGCGGATGGATCACGAGGTCAGGAGATCGAGACCATCCTGGCTAACACAGTGAAACCCTGTCTCTGATAAAAATACAAAAAAAATAGCCGGGCTTGGTAGCAGGCGCCTGTAGTCCCAGCTACATGGGAGTCTGAGGCAGGAGAATGGCCTGAACCCGGGAGGCGGAGCTTGCAGTGAGCTGAGATGGTGCCGCTGCGCTCCAGCCTAGGCTACAGAGCAAGACTCCGTCTCAAAAAAATTAATTAATTAATTAATTAAATAAATTTTTTTAAAAAAAGACTCACCATGCAACCAAGCCATCCCGCCTACTTCCAGGCATTTTATCCGAGAGAAATGAAACATATGTATATTCAAAAAACTTTCTAGGAAGGCTCAAGTCAGTTTTATTCACAATGCCTTCAAACTGGAAACAACCCAGACATCCAACAACAACCCCGCATCCTCCTTTGGGGTCCTGAGAGGGTGCCTCCCCACCAGCCCAGCTTGGCCAACTTTAGTCCATCCATCAATGTCCAAATGGACAAACAGCCTGTGGCATATCCATACAATGGAATACTACTCACCAGTGGTAAGGAGGGAACTTGATACACACTTTAGTAAATACCTGAAATTTTAGGTTGCTTCAGTATCCATTTTGAATATAGGGTTAACAATTTCATACTAGAAGCAGGGCTTAGTCACCTTGGATACAGTTTCCAGCTCTCTGCTGGAAACAGTATCTCAACACATTCCGTCCAGATATCTGGTCCTAGGTAGCCACCTCCTGGTAACTGCCTCCTTGTGGGATGTATACATACAACCAACTAGACTCACCCCACTGACGCCCACACCCTGCATGGACTATGCAGATATGTCTCAGTGACCACCCCTAAGTCACAAGGTGGCCCCACAGGACTCCAGTTCGCTCCTCTAGGTGAACCAATTAGAGCTCCCCTTGGGAAAACTGCTTGAGTAATGCCCTGCACTCCAATAAAAGCCTCAGCCCACAGGTCCGTCTCTCTCTGGCTCCCCCCACCCCCACAACGATTGTGTACAGTGTCCCCAAGACATTCCCGACGGCCCTCAGTGTGCCCTCTTCCCCTGTGGATCTGTAAGTAATAGGACCACTTCTGTTAGTTCCTGTGTTTCGTTGTGTTGCCTGCTCTGTGTCATGCCTGACTGAGACGCTCAAACGTAACGTTTTCCCTGGTCAGGGCTTTCCCTAGAGAGCAGCTATCTTGGTAGGAATAAACTAGATACAGGTCAGACAAGAAGCACAAGGAGATCTGCCAGGATAAATATGTCTCCTGGGAGAGGGACACCCGGTCACAGGTCAGCCAGGATACAGAGGTGCCCCATGAAAGGCCCACGGCAAACACCCACGCCCAAATCCCAGGAGCCCTGTCAGGGCAGAGTTGGCCTTTACAGTGGCTCTCCAGGGAGGTCTCAAGACCAAGGTAGAGGAAAATACAACACACACACGCCACACGGGCGACGCTCAGCTGCATGGTGCCAAGCGAAGAAAGCCAGGCACAAAAGACCACACGGTGAATGGTTCTCCTTGCATGCAATTGCGAGAGAGGCAAAGGGCAGTGACAGAAATCAGAGGAGCAGTTGTCTGGAACCAGGGCGGAGGGGAGGTGAGGGGTTAGCTGCAGAGGGGCAGGAGGGTACTTTTGGGAGGAGAGGACTTCTTGAACTCGGGGGGAGACTAGCCTGGTGGTTTCGCGTGTCAGAAGTCATGGAACTGAGCCGGGCATGGTGGCGGGGCCTGTGGTCCCAGCTGCTCGGGAGGCTGAGGCAGGAGGATCGCTGGAGCCTAGAAGTTCAAGGCTGCGGTGAGCCGAGATCGTGCCACCGCACTCCAGCCTGGGCGACAGAGACCCTGTATCTAAAAAATAAAGGAAAAAATTCATGGAACTGTATACTTCCATGTACTGTACTTAAATTTCCTGGTATTTATCGTATGTATAGAATACCTCACATCTTAATAAAGTCGTCGTTTTTAGTGTGAGGGGTGCTATGGGGCACGGAGGGCGATCCGGCTGCCGACCCTCGGCGGCGGCGCGGGAGTGCGAGGCCGGCGGGGAGGTCGGGTCCTGCGGCCTCGCCGGGGCCCCTGCAGCGCTCTCCCGCCAGGGGGCAGCGTCGGGCCGGCGGCGCGGGCGGGAAGCTCCAGCGGCCGGGACGCGGTGGTGCCGTCTTCCCCCTGCGGTGAGGGACCGCGTCGCGCCACCCCGCTCTCAGCGCAGCCCGCAGCGGCGAGGCCACCGGGTGGGACACGGGTGCCCGCGCGTCGCGCCGCAGCTCGCGGGGACCTGGCGCCCCGTCCCGGGAGGGGATCTGGCCCCCGGGCGCCGGCTCTCCGTCCACGCGGCGTCCTCCCTGCAGCCCGCTAGGGCCGCTCGCCCGTCGCCGCCTGCGGAACGCGGAGGGGCAGCACGGCCACGCCCGGCCACTCGAACCTGCTCCCCGGCGCCGCGTGACCGTGTCAGGTCCCCGTCGGCCTCGCCGTGCCGACCCCGGGCGCCTCCACAGTGGCTCGGAGGCCGCTGCTGCCCGGATGCCCGGGTTCCACGAGGCTCTCCCAGCCCGACAAGCCCGCCGATCCCACGGGCACGGGCGGAGGAGAGGGAACCGCCGCGCCCGCCCCGCGCGCCGTCGCCGACCCCGGTGGGTCGCGCTTCCCCGCGCACGCCGCGCTCTGGCGCGGGGAGAGGCCCCTCGGGGTCCGCCCGGGTCAGCGTCCCGCGGGGGTGGCGGCCGTTCGCTCAGCCTCCTCTCGACTTCCCTTTCCTGTCAGGGCTGCTGGGGCTGACAGGCTCCCGGGCAACCACGCCGGGGAACCCCTCACGCCCGCCGATCGCTGCGGGGCTCAGCAGCCGCCCCGTGCGCTGAGTCCCCTGTCATGAGTGACTCCATTGCGAGGCGTTTCGGGCCACGAAGCAGGACCGGGGGCCGCACTCCGGGTCCCCGCCCTGCCCTCGCCGACCTCCCGCGCGTGGAAGGGGGACGGCGGCGGCGGAGCTCCCCGCCACGGAGAACCCCGAAATGGTCATTTCGAACGAGAGGAGTGTGGCCTGGGGTGTCTGGTTTAACAGCCCCCCGCGCCGAAAGGCTGTTCGCCGAGGAGGGGCCGCCGGGGAGGGAGCCCGAGCGCGGCGGGGCGAGACCGGTCCCCGCCCGGCGTTGCCCGGCCCGAGGGACGGCGGCGCCCCCAGGACCCTCCCCAGCGCGGCCCCAGCTCGCTCCGGGACCGCGGGGCCAGGCCGGGCGGGAGCGCGGGGACGTACACGGCGGCCCCGCCCGCGCGCTCCTCCTCCCTCCCGGCCCGCCCTGCGCCGGCGGCGGCGGCCCCAGTCTCCGCGCTGCTGAGGCGCGCCCGGCCGCTCCCACGGCCTCCCCTCCGCCCTGCGGTCCCGCCGCCTCCGGGGCCTCCTGGGACCCTGGCCCTCGCCGGGCAGGACGCCGCCAGCGCTGAAGGCGCAGCCCGGAGGCCGCGCGGGTGAGTCGGTGCGCAGCCCCAGCGGCTCCAGAGGAGCGGGTGCGGGGAGGGCGAGCGGACCAAGTCGGCCGCGTTCCCACCTTGCGCGCAGCCGGGAGACCAGCAGGCCCAGCCTCTAGGGAGGAGGGCAGGGGAGCTGGGGGCCGCCCCCCGCATTCTCGCAGGCACCTGTCCCTAGGCCGGGGTCCGCTGGCTCGAAGCACTGACCCGCCCCGGACCTAGGGGGACGGAGGCAGCGGTGACATTTGCCCAGGAAGGGCGGCAGTGGGTAAACTCCACTCCAGGGCACGGGTCTGGGCGCAGGTTGAGGCCTGGGGTTGAATCTGCTTCTGCTAGAGGCCAGTGTTCTCAGGGAGGCCCATAACCCGACTGGGTCTCAGTTCCCCCTGGTATGAAACAGCAACAGGGCAAGAGGAGGAAACCATGCCACGCTGCAAAGCTCTGAGCACGAAGCCGAGAAGAATCTCGGCTCCCGGCCTCGGGGGCTGCACTTCGGGCCAGGCCTGCACTCCCAGGATAAGAGGATGGCCTCCTGCCCCAGGGGTGGCATGGGGGCGCGCAAAAAGCAAAGGTGACCCTGCCAGGGAGCACCCAGCGCTCCGGTTGGTGGTCATGGGGTCTTTGCGTGGGACTCACAGTGTGGCCGGGAAAGTTCTGTAATGAGGACATTTCTCATCATTCCTTCTTCTCAAAAGTCATTCGTCAGCCCCAGACACCTTTGCCTCGGAAAACTGAGAACTACTTTCAAAATCGTCAACACCCCCATCTCCTGCTACAGAGCGGAGTCCCCACTTTGCAGAGGCGCACTGCAAGGTCGCGGGTGGTTAAATGGTGCGCCCTCCTTGATGAAGATGCCTTGTTCTCTTTCACTCTCTATGTGTGTTTAATGTTGTGTGTTGCGTTCTCTGTGAAGCGAAGGATAAACACGGGCCCTTTCAGGCAACCGAAGGAAGAAGGCGGCCAGCATCAGATCTTCCCGTGCTTCAAGGTGGAGCACCCTGCAGGGCTTACTGCAGCGCTCAGGGTCAAAGTGAGGATGCAGTGCGGCACCAAAAGGCAAATGGACTCTGGAGAGCCACTCTCACCTTGTACCCCTGGAGTAGACCCCGAGGACTGGAGGACTGGAACAAGATCTTAGTCCTGAGGGCGGGAGAAGCAGCCTTTGGTGGTTGCACAGGGGCCCGGCTTTTCCCGAAGTCTTAAAGCCTGCTCCAAATGCCAGATTCAGACAAAGGGGCCGAACCTTGGGCCCGCCGCCTTCTCCCATAAGCGGCAACCCAGCAGCTTTGCCAGGAAGTTTACATGTGAAGGTACGGACCTTTCTTGGAATGAGCCACACCTGATGGCCCTGCCACTCCGGACGGCGCTCGTTCACGGCTGTCCCTGGAGCAGACACGGTTCTGCGCACACACCTGGGCGCCGGAGAAACAGGGCACCCAAAGCGGGCCCAGGCCCTCGGACTCAGCGAGCTGGACACGTGTCCCCATCACCCGCGGCTGGCGGGAGCAGTGTTTCTACTCCCTTCCCTCCCCTCCTCCCGCCCCGCAGATGTGCTGTCTTTCCCGGCCTCCCCCCGCGCCCAGCACAGTGGTTTCTGCTTGGCTGTTCCCCTGTCTCTGAGATGGTCTCTCCCTGCTGCTTGCCCTACACATTCTCCCACACAGGCGCGCGGGATGCCCCTGTCGGCGTGGTTGTCAATGCCTGCTCCCCTGCCCCCCAGTCCAATCTCCACGACTCTGGGCCCTGTCGCTTCATCCTAAAGCCTTCCGCTCACGAGCCCTCCCGACGACCGACCCCCAGGAGGCTACTGGAGATGCAGGATTTGGACCCGTGCTGGACCCGCACCCGGACAGATCCCTCTGAATGAATGAATGAATTAATGAGCAGGCTGCATCCTGATTAGGTTAAGGTGGGTGGTTGCCATGCTTGGCGTTGGCTCTGTCCCCTGGGATAAAAGGCGAGAGGCAGCCACATGGACAGCTCCTCCAGTGGGGTCTCAGACTGGAGAGACGCCAGCGGGCGGGGGTCGTTCCCTGGAGCTCCCGCATTTGTTATGGTCGATGCCCCACTACGTTGTCACCTTCTCCGGAGGACCTCCTGCTCTGTCCTTGACAGATGGGCCCCAGTGGGCCCACCCAGGCTGGAGATGAATCTCAAAGGGACTCCATGCCTGGGAGACCTCAGCCAAGCAGGGCAGAGAAATAATCAGACAACAGTCAGCGCATGGCGCCTGCAGAGTTTTGCACAGGGTCCTTCAGAAGGAGGGTTAGGGAAGACTTCTTGGGGGTTAGGGCAGTTAAGCAAGATGGATAAAGAAAGCAACCACTTATGTCTGCATATTTTCTTCATTTCATCTTCACAACAGCCCTGAGATAGGTACTTGTTTTAAAGCTGAGGTATAAATTGGGGTTCAGAGAGATTGAGTGCTTTCACCATGAACAAGTGACAGAGAGCAACGACTTGAACCGGGTTACCTGATGCCACCGCTGGTCTTAACCTCCATGTTATTAGCGTATTGGGTAAGTGAAACCGTGTGAGCCAAGAAGCTGGGGTGAGAAACAGCACGGAATAGAGGAGAGGGCTGCAGAAAGGCGTGATGTTTCTGGAGCACCGAATTCTACTCACGAACACAGGAGTGGAGGCGGGAAGGGGACACTGGAAGCTATGGAGGGCCTTGTCAGCCACAGTAAGGAATGTGGACCTGGTCCTCAGGGTGGTGAGGGGATGGCCCCCCATCCAGAGGTTTCTCACAGGGGAGTGATTCGGCCTGTCTCTGCCGCAGTCAGAAGGAAGGATGCAGTGAGAGAGGGAAAGTGGAGAGGCGGATGGCGGTGCAGTCTACTCCAGGTCATGCTTCTTACCATCTCCCTCATTATTCATCCACAGAAAATGATTGCTGTTATATGACACACTGGTTAACAAAGGAGGGGGCTGTTTGCAAACAGAAACAACCAACCCAGGGCCTCCAGCCATCCAAAGATTCTGCACAGCCAGCCACCCCTAAGGCTAAGAAATCCCAGGTACATGCACACCAGTCACAGCATACCTGGACTCAGACAATGACAGTGGAGAATGAGGAACAAGAGCTGGGTTCAAGGAATAATTAGCAAGCAACGTTGGCATTACGTAGTGCAGGGACAAAGGAGGAGGGAGATAGCCCGTGGGATTCTGGACTAAATTGGGCAAATGGTATGACATGGTTAGGCTTTTGTGTCCCCGCCCCAATCTCATCTTGAATTGTAATCCCCAAGTGTTGAGGGAAAGACCCGGTGGGAGAGGATCGGATCATGGGGTGGTTTCCCCCACGCTGTTCTTCGGATAGTTAGGGAGTTCTCATGAGATCTGATGGTTCCATAAGCGTCCGTCATTTCCTCCACTCACACTCTCTCTTGCCACCTTGTGAAGAGGTGCCTGCTTCCCCTTCCGCTATGACTGTAAGTTTCCTGAAACTTCCCCAGCAATGTAGAACTGTGAGTCAATGAAACCTCTTTTATTTAGAAATTGCCCAGTCTTGGGCAGTTCTTTATAGCAGTGTGAGAATAGATTAACACAGTAAATTGGTACCAGGAGTGTGGGACACTAATACATGGTAGTTTCCTCATTGCTGTAGGGAGCATGGGGACAGGGCTCATTCCAGGGAAGGTGATGAGTTCTTTTGGGCTGCCCTGTGTTTGAAGCAGGTACAGAAGCCTAACGGGCAGTGGAGCAGGGCAGTGGAGTCAAACAGACCGGGTCCATCTTCCAGCTCCACCAACTTAGTAGTTCCGTTACCTTTTGCAAAAAGCCTGTTCATTTGTGTGTAAGACAGGGATAAGAATAGGTTCATAGAGGCTGAGGTGGGAGGATTGCTAGAGCCTGGGAGGCAGAGGTTGCAATGAGCTGAGATCATGCCACTGCGCTCCAGCCTGGGTGACAGAGTGAGACCCTGTCTTAAAAAACAAAAAAAAGGATAGGGTTATAGACTTCCCATAATTAAATAAGATAAGGTACAAAGCCTGGAAGGTAATATGTATCTAATAAATGGCAGTGCTAGACTGGGCACGGTGGCACACGCCTGTAATCCCAGCACTTTGGGAGGCCGAGGCAGGTGGGTCATGAGGTAGGAGTTTGAGACCAGCCTGGCCAAGATGGTGAAACCCCATCTCTACTAAAAATACAAAAATTAGCCAGGCGTGGTGATGCGTGCCTGTAGTCCCAGCTACTTAGGAGGCTGAGGCAGAAGAATCGCTTGAACCTGGGAGACAAAGGTTGCAGTGAGCCAAGATCGTGCCACTGCACCTAGCCTAGGCGACAAGCAAGACTCCATCTCAAAAAAATTAAAAAAAAATGGTAGTGCTAGGCCGGGCACGGTGGCTCATGCCTGTAATCCCAGCACTTTGGGAGGCCGAGGTGGGCGGATCACGAGGTCAGGAGATCGAGACCATCCTGGCTAACATGGTGAAACCTCGTCTCTACTAAAAATGCAAAAAATTAGCCGGCCTGGTGGCAGTCGCCTGTAGTCCCAGCTACTTGGGAGGCTGAGGTAGGAGAATGGCGTGAACCCGGGAGGTGGAGCTTGCAGTGAGCTGAGATTGCACCACTGCACTCCAGCCTGGGCGACAGAGTGAGACTCCGTCTCAAAATAAATAAATAAATAAATAAAAATAAAAATAAAAGCAAACAAATAAAAAAAGGTAGTGCTATTATTATTGTTATACTATTCCTTATTATTATCAGTAAATCCGAAGCTCAGAAAAGAAGCAATTTCAGAAGGCATCAAGTAGAAATGGAAACCATGAGAATAAATGAGATGATCCAAAAGAGTGTATATGGAGGACATTGAAGACCAGGAACATTGACATTTAAGGGGTGGACAGAGGAAGAGAAGCCTAAGAACAAATGGCCTGAGGAGGAGGAAAGCTGTGAGAGCCCGTGGAAGCCACGTGTAGCAGCCACACAGCTAGCTGATCCTCTGCCTCCTTCCTCCTTCCTAACAGAACCTGTTGTTAGGGTAAGCTCCCACAGTGCCAGCTCCAACCCAGGAGGTGAGTCTTCATCAGTAATCTCATTTCCCTTGCCAGTGACTGGTTTGGGAAGGTGTATTTGATGCAGTTCTGTTCAACAGCACTTGATAGAAAGTCTGCTGGTGAACTTCTGGAAAAGATTTCCTTGATCTTAAAGAGAAATGCAGGTGCAAATCAAAACCACAATGAGATACCACTTCACACCCACTGAGATGGATGGAACCCAAAAGTCAGATAACAAGTGTTGGTTAGAACCGTCATACATTTCTGGTGGGAATGTAAAATGATACAGCCACTTTGGAAAACAACCTGGAAGTTTCCCCAAATGATTAAACATAAAGTTACCATAGGATGCAGGGACTTTACGTATATACCAAGAGAAATGAAGACATATGTCCACGAATAAACTTGTACACAAAAGTTTATAGTAGCACTGTTTACAATAGCCAAAACATGGAAACAACTCAGAGGTTCATCAATGGATGAATGGGCACACAAAATATGGTATATCCACACAATGGGATATCACTTGGCCATAAAAAGTAAGGACGTAGTGATACCTGCTACAACACGGACGAACCACGAAAACATTCTGCTAAGTGAAAGAAGCCAGCCACAAAGGCCTCCAGAGACTGAAGGGGGCCTGCCCCTCCACACCTGTGGGTATTTCTCGCAAGGTGGAGACGAGAGACTGAGAAAAGAAATAAGACACAGAGGTAAAGCATAGAGGAAGAAAAGTGGGCCCAGGGGACCGGCACTCAGCAAGTGAGGACCTGCACCGGCACTGGTTTCTGAATTCCCTCAGTATTTATTGATCATTATCTCTACTATCTCAGTGAGGGGGATGTGGCAGGACTATAGGGTAATGGTGGAGAGAGGGTCAACAGGAAAACATGTGAACAAAAGACTCTGTGTCATAAATAAGTTTAAGGAAAGGTGCTATGCCTGAATGTGCACGTAGGCTAGATTTATGTTTAACTTTACATAAACATCTCAGTGCAGTAAAGATCAGTATTGCCGTGCAGTAAAGATCAGTATTGCCACCAGCATGTCTCACCTCCAGCCATAGGGCGGTTTTCTCCTATCTCAGTAAATAGAATGTACGATCAGGTTTTACACCAAGACATTCCATTCCCAGGGGATCATGAGACAGATGCTTTCCTCTTAACTGCAAAGAGGCCTTCCTCTTTCAGTAATCCTCCTCAGCACAGACCTTTTATGGGTGTCCGGCTGGGGGACTATAATGTAAGGTCTTTCCCTTCCAACGAGGCCACATCTCAGGCTGTCTCAGTGTGGGGAAGCCTGGACAACACCCAGGCTTTCTTGGGCAGAGGTCCCCATGGCTTTCCACAGTGCATTGTGTCCCTGGGTACTCAAGACTGGAGAATGGCGATGACCTTTACCAAGCATACTGCCTTCAAACACATTGTTAACAAAGCACATCCTGCACAGCCCTAAATCCATTAACCTTGAGTCAATACAGCGCATGTTTCTGTGAGCACAGGGTTGGGGCTAGGGTTACAGATTAATAGCATTTCAAAGCAGAAGAATTTTTCTTAGTACAGATCAAAATGGAGTTTCTTATGTCTTCCTTTTTCTACATAGACACAGTAACAGTCTGATCTCTCTTTCTTTTCCCCATACAGACCTTACGATTTCATTCATATGGAAGTTCAGGATAGGGAATTCTATAGAGACAGAAAGAAGATTAGTGGTTTCCAGAGTCTGGGGTGGTGGACAAGGATGGGAGGTGATAACTAAATGATATGGGGTTCTTCTTGAGTGATGAAAATTTGTAAAACTGACTGTGGTGATGGTTGCACCTGTCTACGAATATACCAAAAACCATTGAATTGTACACTTTAAAATTATACGGTATATTAATTATATTTCAATAAACCTGTTTTAAAAAGAGATAGCCTCAAAAATACAGACACTTCTCAGTTTGTCATGTCTGGACGAGATGGCTGGAACTGAGGATTATGTCCACACAAAGAGAAAGGCAGCATCAAGGCTGACCTGAGAAGCGGCAAGGGACCCTGGCAGTACCAAGTCTGGTTGTTTTTTTATGTGACATGATCAATTGTTTCCTGCTTTTTCTTTTAAGAGATGGGGGTCTCGCTGTGTTGCCAGGCTGACCTTGAACTCCTGGGGTCAAGCAATCCTCCTGCCTCTGCCTCCCAAGGAGCTGGGACTACAGGGGTGCACCACCACACCTGGCAACATGATGAATTGTTGAAGCAGCTTGCATTGTTTTTGCTGTTGTTGTTTGCAAACAACTAAATGTTTTATGCAAAAAGGAGTTAATATAGGGAATTAGCTGCTTACAAAACCTTTGGAAGGGTTGGGTGATCAAGCTCTAGGCTGAATCCCCAGGAATGACTCCTAGAACACTGCAAAACTGACCAATGGAGCTACTACTTCTGTCCCGTATCAGGAAAGTGAGGACTCAGGAGACCAGCACTGGAACTATTGCATTCAAGAACACAGCACTTTAATTATGACTCAGGGTTAGAAAGCCATTGCCCAACCACCACAGCCGCCTGTCAGCAGCACCCAACGAAGCCGGTGAATGAGCATGGAATACTACTTCAGAAACTGTATCCATCTCCTATACCTTACTCGCTAGAAGGAAACAGTCAAAGCAGCAGGAAGATGGTATTTATTTGACTTCCACCTTCCACATGTCTCTCATTTAATGACCAACTTATTTTGCTCTTTATTCCTACTTCCGTCTCAGAACTTCTATCTGGAACCATTTTTCCTTCTGCCTGATATATATTCTTTATAATTTTCTGAATATCTGCTTGTGAAGAACTTTCAGTTTTGGTTTTCTTGAAAATATCTTTATTTTGTCCTTGTTCTTGAAAGATTTTTTTCTTTCTGGGCATAAAGGATAGGCAGGTAGTTGTTTTCTTTTCTTTCTTTCTTTCTTTCTTTCTTTCTCTTTCTTTCTTTTCTTTCTTTCCTTCCTTCCTTTCTTCTTTCTTTCTTTCATCTTTTTTCTTTTTTTTTGAGACAGGTTCTTGCTCTATCGCCCAGGATGGAGTGCAGTCATGCAATCTCGGCTCACTGCAACCTCTGTCTCCCAGGTTCAAGCAATTCTGCCTCAGCCTCCTGAGTAGCTGGGATTACAGGTGCACACCACCACGCCCAGCTAATTTTTGTCATTTTAGTAGAGACAGGGTTTCACCATGTTGGCCAGGCTGGTCTCAAACTCTTGACCTCAGGTGATCCACCCGCCTCGGCCTCCCAAAATGCTGGGATTAAAAGTGTGAGCCACCGCTCCCAGCCGTTATTTTCTTTTAGCAAATGAATATTGTCATCCTTAAGGGCCTATTGGCTACAGCCACTTCTGATACCAAATGGTGAAGGTTCAGTACAAGAAATAGAAGCCAGCAGAAAAGGAATTTGATACAGGCAAATAGGTAGTAAAAATCATTCGGTACACTGAAAAATGACCTCTATTTGGGCCTCCAGGAAAATCTCTCTGAACACCCAGAAGTAACTCCATAAAGGAGCGACCACTCCTGTAACAGTCAGGCTACTGTAAAGCCACCTGTAGAACTTAGCTGGGTTTTGTAACACAGTACTGTGGCCACCATAACTGCAACTGTGTCCTCCATTCCCACAAAGTGGGGACTGGATAGTGGAAAGCTGATGCACGAACATCCCATGTCTTCAATGATCTTGTTTCCCAGGAGAAAACAAAGAAAACTGCAAAAAATATGGCCTGTCTCACATCTGCTTTCTAGATTCTGAAAACCTAATTTGCATAACCCAACTTCAAGAGTGTCCACAAAATGTAGCTTTTTGTTTCCTACCCCTCACAGTACAGTAAGACACCCTAGAAGGAGCTAGGAATAGTGGAAGGATCCCTGCTGTCAAATGGCAGGCAGTGTGGGGGGCCTGAAGTGGCCAATGGTTTTGACAACGCGGAAGCCAAGGAGGCGAGAGCCCCCTCTCTAAAAAAAATTGAAATTAAAAAGCGAGGAGTGAATTCAGTGAATGCAGATGGTTTGAGGATCCCTGTGAAGGGAGGAGGAGGAGAGAAAGGTAGTAGTAGAAGGAGGGGACATACAGTTTCAAGGGAGTTTTGGTTGGTTGTTTTTCTAAGAATGGTAGAGAGATGAACGTGTTTATTAATGGAAAGGAAGGTGTCAACCAAAGAGAACAGAGGGAAGGAGTAGATGCATGATGGAAGGAGAACTTGCAGCTGGTGGGAGGGGATGCTCATGATATATGGAAAGATGGTCATACTTTCCTATGTGACAAAACAAATTTTAAAGCAAACATTGTATGATCCCCTTCCATTTACAAATATATAATAGATACATTGAAAATACTCACTGAATGGTCAGACATCCCTTATAGAGACAAAACTCAATTTCAATGTTGCAAAGCTACACTACTGAGATGGAGCAGCCCCAGGCAATGGCACAGGCTTGGGCAGGGGTGTGTAGTAACTGGAGGGCAAAATAAGAGTGGGCGAGGGTGAGATAGAGGACAGCAGAGCCATGCTATCGAAGGCCACATGCCCATGAGACTGGCTTGCTCCATAGCGGAAGTCATGATGCCAACTTGCCCACCTTCCCATACGCTGAGGAACAGCCTGCCATCCGTTCTTCTGGAGCCCAGCTCAGAGACCTAGGTATAGCATCCTCCGTTCCCACTCACCCTCAGCAGATGCCTTCAGCAGTTGTGGAGATATACAAGTTCCCGCATAGTAGTTTTGAGACACATCCTGTGATAGCAACACAATCCCCTCATGTTTCCTGCCCCCCTCCCCCAAATCATGACCAGAAGGATCCGCTGACCAAGGCTGTCCCTTAAATATATGACTTCCTTGAGAATAATTTGACACGGCTTAAACTAATTTAGCTTTTCTCAATCCCTGTCTTAACTCTCAACATGACTATTTCTCATGCCAACATTATGCCAAAGTGTAGATATATAAGAATAAACAAATATAATCCTATATTTTCCAAGAAAATCATATATCAAAATGTTAACAGTGTTTTTTGTTTGTTTGTTTTTTGTTGTTTTTTGTTTTTGACGAAGTCTCGCTCTTGTCCCCCAGGCTGGAGTGCAGTGGCGCGATCTTGGCCAACTGCAAACTCCGCCTCCCAGGTTCAAGCGATTCTCCTGCCTCAGCTTCCCCAGTAGCTGGGATGACAGGCGCCCGCCACCACGCCCTGCTAATTTTTGTATTTTTAGGAGAGACGGGGTTTCACCATGTTGGCCAGGCTGGTCTTGAACTCCTGACCTCAGGTGATCCGCCGGCCTCAGCCTCCCAAAGTTCTGGGGTTACAGGCGTGAGCCACCATGCCCGGCCTAACAGTGTTTTTTTGAGTGACAGGAACTGCATGTAATTTCCATTTTCCCTTTTTGGCTTATTGCACTTTTTACTTTTTCTACAACAATTTTGTATTATGTTTATGAATAGAAAAAAAAAATAAAGGTTGTTAAACAGGACACAAGTGGAAAGTTGTCCTTGAATTATAAAAGGAATAAAGTGCTGAAAATAACTAAAATGCTGGATAAAATAGTATGTAAGCCGAAGAAAATGTAAGTAATACTTGGGCATGAAGACAGGGACTTAGAGAGGTATGCAAAGCCAGGAGCCAGGTTTGGAGTTGAGGATACATACAAAACTGTGAATTTGAGAGCCTCCTTGGCTTCCTCATTATCCAAACCACTGGCCACTTCAGGCCTCTATATTGCATGCCATTTGACAGCAGGGACCCCTTCCACTATTTCTATCTCCTTCTAGGGTGTCTTATTGTACTGTAAAGACTAGGAAACAAAAAGCTATTTTTTGTAGATACCCTCAAAGTTGGGTTATGCAAATTAGGTTTTCAGGACTTGGTAGCTTCTCGGGACTAGCAGGACAGAAGATAAAGCTTACTGCCCACCCGGAGGGAAGCCTAACAGGAGACTCCCCGCAAAACTGTGACTCTGGAGGGCCACGTTCTAATATAAAGGTGGCCTAAGAAATAAATTTGGCCGGGCACAGTGGCTCACGCCTGTAATCCCAGCACTTTGGGAGGCTGAGGCCGGCGGATCACGAGGTCAGGAGTTCGAGACCAGCCTGGCCAACATGATGAAACCCCGTCTCTACTAAAAATACAAAATTAGCTGGGTGTGGTGGCATGCGCCTGTAATCCCAGCTACTCAAGAGGCTGAGGCAGGAGAATTGCTTGAACCTGGGAGGCAGAGGCTGCAGTGAGCCGAGATCATGCCACTGCACTCCAGCCTAGGTGACAGAGCAAGACTCTGTCTCGGAAAGAAAAAAAAAAAAAGGAAGAAAAAAATTATTCCATCCCTACAGGACTGAAAGGAAAACTGCCCTTGTTGGATCCTGATGCTAATCAAATTGAGCTGGGGGTGGGCTATCTCCCTTCAGAATTTGTAATCATGAGCCTGCCCTCATGAATTTACATGACCAGGCACTATCCCCCTTCCTAAAAGATAAACACATACACACACACACACACACACACACACACACAAAACCTGGAGCCAAAAATTTGATTAGAAATGGTCCTAGGCTTGTAATGCCCACAGTTACCTGAGAGAAGCAAGTGTAAATCCCTTCAAGAGGAACTAAGAAATTTGCCTCATCCCTGACCTCAAAGAATTCCCACAGTAATATTCCAAAGAAAATGAGATAATTCACTAAATAAAATAATTCACTAACTATACAAATAAACAGGGCACTATGAGTGAGATCCAGCAGAAACAAGACAGCAGATTCAGATCCAGACTTTAGATGCTGGAGTTATCAAACCTAGTATATCCAACAAGTATGTTTGATATCATTTAATAAATAAAAGAGAGTCTTGAAAATATCACAAAAGAGCAAGCAGATGTGGAAAAAAATCAAACAACTTGTAGAAATGAAAAATATAACAACTGAAATTTAAAACTCCATAGACAGGTTTAACATCTAGATACAGCTGAAAGGATGATTAGAGACATGGAAGATAGAACAGAACTTACCCGACATATAGCCAAGAGAGCTAAAGATATGGAAAATATGAAATAGAACTTAAAGAGACATGGAAGATAGACTGAGAAGGTCTGTGATATGGTTTGGCTGTGTCTTCACTCAAATCTCATCTTGAATTATAGCTCCCATAATTCCCACATGCTGTGGGAGGGACCTGGTGGGAGATAATTGAATTATGGGGGTGGTTTCCCTCATACTGTTCTTGTGGTAGTGAATAGGTCTCACGAGATCTGATGGTTTTATAAGGGGAAACCCCCTTTGCTTGCGTCTCATTCGCTTGCTTCTCATTCGTTTGCTTCTCATTCGCTTTTTGCCTGCTGCCATGTAAGACGTGCCTTTGCCTTCCACCATGATTGTGAGGCCTCCCCAGCCATGTGGAACTGTGAGTCCATTAAACCTCTTTTCCTTTATAAATTACCCAGTTTCGGGTATGTCTTTATCAGCAGCATATAGTCTAATGAAGGATTACTTTCTATAAATGACAAAGGGTCCTAATCCACAGGTTCGAGAAGCCAAAAAACTTTCGACTATAATAAATAAAAAGAAATGTGCACCCAGAATAATCATAGTGAAGACACATAACATAGTATACTAAATATTAAAATATTAAATAATATATGGTATTTTATAGCATATTGGAAACTGAGTATATGTAACTTCCAAACTGTTAGAGAAAAGAGAAAAAAAACTAATTCAAAAGAAGGCAAGAAAGGACAAAAAAAATTGAAAAAACAAGACAAGAAAACACAAAATAAGATGGTATAAATAAATGTATCAATAATAACCCTAAATTGGCCGGGCGCAGTGGCTGACATCTGTAATCCCAGCATCTTGGGAGGCTGAGGTGGGCAGATCACCTGAGGTCAGGAGTTCGAGACCAGCATGGCCAACACGGCAAAACCCCGTCTCTACTAAAAATACAAAAATTAGGCAGCCGTGGTGGTGCGCACCTATAGTCCCAGCTACTCGGGAGGCTGAGGCAGGAGAATCGCTTGAACCCAGGAGGGGCAGAGGTTGCAGTGAGCCAAGATCATGCCACTGCACTCCAGCCTGGGCAGCAGAGCGAGACTATCTCAAAAAAAAAAAAAAAAAAAAGAAAGAAAGAAAAGAAAAGAAAAGGCTGGAAAATGATGTACCAGGTAAATACTAAGTTTCCAAAAAGTGTGTATAGCAACAGTAATATCAGAAAAAATATATTTTAGGACAAAACAGAACTAGAGATTAAAAGATTACTATATAATGATAAGATATTCAATTTTCCAATAAGGCATAACAATTATAAACTTCTACAAATATAATAATATAGCTTCAAAAATGAACTAAAATTGACAGAATTACAAGGAAAATTAGACAAGTCAACTATTTCATGAGCTAGTTCAACACACATTTCTGTGATTGATAAAATAAGCAGTAAAAAATCAATAAATTAAGAATATAAAAGATTTGGGCCAGGCAAGGTGGCTCATGCATGTAATCCGAGCACTTTGGGAGGCCAAGGTGGGAGGATTGCTTGAACGCAGGAGGTCAAGACCAGCCTGGGCAACATAGCAAGACTTTGTCTCTACAAAAAATTTAAAAATTAACCAAGGATGGTGGCACATACCCGTCTTCCTAGCTACTCAGGAGGCTGAGGTCAGAGGATCGCTTGATCCCAGGAGGTCGAGGCTACAGTAAGCCATGATCGTGCCACTGCACTCCAGACTGGGCAACGCAGTGAGACCCTATCTCAAAAAAAAAAAAAGATTTCAACAACACAACTAATAAGCTTGATCTAATGACAACTTATAGAACTCCATATCCAGTAAGTATAGAATGTATGGTGTTCTCAAGCATCCATGGAATATCTACAAAAATGACCATTAAAAATTAAATCCTTCAACCATAAGGCATTTGTGGAGGAAGAAATTACAATGGCAATTAGAAATATTTAGAACCAAAAGTTGATGAAATTATTACATAGCAAAACTTGCAGTGTACAGTTAATACTAATTTAGAGAAAACTGTGTGGCCTTCAACACTTCTCATAGAAAATAAGGCTCCAAATTAACGAGCTGTGCTCATAGCAAAAAATCTGAAATAAAACAATGAAATAATCACCCAAAAGAGTAAAAGGAAAGAAAAAATAAAGATGAGCAAAGAAATTAAAAACAAGGGCAAAAGTTGATGTTTTGAAGAAATTCGCAAAATCAACACAATTCTGGTGACGATTATAAAGAAAGAAAAAAGAATGCACAAGTAAACCAATATTAGGAATAAAAATCAGTTTAGAATATAAGCTACAGTACAAACTACAGTTAGAAGATTTAATTTCTAATGTTTGATAGCAGAGTAGGGTAACTATAGTTAACAACGTTTTCTTTTTAAAAAAAACTTTTTATTGATTGATTGAGACAGAGTCTTGCTCTGTCCTCCAGGCTAGGGTGCTGTGGTGTGATCTCAGCTCACCACAACCTCCACCTCCTGGGTCCAAGCAATTCTCATGCCTTAGCCACCCGAGTAGCTGGGATTACAGGTGCACACCACCACACCTGGCTAAATT
This sequence comes from Homo sapiens, assembly GCF_000001405.40. Taxonomy (NCBI): domain Eukaryota; kingdom Metazoa; phylum Chordata; class Mammalia; order Primates; family Hominidae; genus Homo; species Homo sapiens. Next base: position 196,954,132 of record NC_000003.12, on the reverse strand, counting down.
TTGTATTTTTTTGGTAAAGACAGGTTTTTGCCATGTTGGCCAGGCTGGTCTCAAACTCCTGACTTAAAGCAATCTGCCTGCCTCAGCCTCCCAAAGGGCTGGGATTCCAGGTGTGAGCCACCGCACCTGGCTTTTTTTTTTTGACAGGGTCTTGCTCTGTCACCTAGGCAGAAGTGCAGTAGTGTGATCATAGCTCTCTGCAGCCTCAAATTCCTGGGTTCAAGTGATCCTCTTGTCTCAGCCTCCTGAATAGCTGGGATTACCAGCACACACCACTGTGTCCAGCTATTTTTTCGTAGAAATGGGGATCTCACTTTGCTGCCCAGGCTGGTCTGACCTCCTGGTTTCAAGCGATCCTTTCATCTCAGCCTCCCAAAGTTCTGGGATTATAGGTGTGAGCCACCTGACATTACACCTGAGAGCAAGAACTATTTAAGGTCAGAATTTAAAATATCAAGAAGTCAGGGCAACATCACTATTTCTGGAGGAGGGACAAGCAGGTTGTCAAGCTTGCTTTCCTGTTCAGCAGTGATGCTGTGGACTTACAGATCCAGCATGCCATGGGCTCAGATTGTCACTGCTCTTTGAGTTACATAGAAAACTTCTGAGATGCAGTTAATACTATATTTGAGTTGAGGGAGTTAGGATTCTCATCATATAGAGTTACAAATGTTCCCATCACCTTCCAAAAGGCAGGTTCCAGGGTGTGTGAAAGTTGGAGGGAGTGACTGGAAACAATGGGGTTGAGTGTAATTTTTGCAGGGAAATGGGTGGCATCCGTTGACTTTCCCAAGTTTTCAGAAATGCAAGAAGCAGCCTGCCATACTGGCCTGTGGATAGGAGCTGGTGATCAGGATGGGCTGCAAGACCCAGATTTGTTGGGTACCCTGATCTTCCTTGCAAATGTCACATTGAGCAAATGTCATATTTAGACCCTGTATAAGTCAGGATTCTCCAGAGAAACAGAAACAATAGGGAACTGGCTTTATCATTTACTATGAAAATTAGCTCATGCAATTATGGGGGCTGGTGAAGTCCCACAATCTGACACCTGCAAGCTGGAGAACCAGGAAAGCTGGTGGTTGAATTCAGTCTGAGTCGGGAGCCTTAGAAACAGAGGAGCCTACAGTGTAACTCCCAGTCCTAGTCCGACGGCCTGAGAGCTTGATTCAGGGAGGTGGGTTGGGGCACACTGGTGTGAGACATAGAGTCTGAAGACCCAAGAACCAGGAGCACCGATGTCTGAGGCAGGAGAAGATGGCTATCCCAGCTGAAGAGAGTGCAAATTCACCCTTCCTCCACCTTTCTGTTTTATTCAGACCCTCAATGGGTTGGATCATGCCCACCCACACTGGTGCAGCTGATCTTCTTAGTCTACCAATTCAAAGGCTAATCTTAGCTGGGCACGGTGGCTCACGCCTGTAATCCCAGGAGTTTGGGAGGCCAAAGTGGGCGGATCATGAGGTCAGGAGTTCAAGACCAGCCTCACCAACATGATGAAACCCCGTCTCTACTAAAAATACAAAAATTAGCCGGGCGTAGTGGCGTGTGCCTGTAATCCCAGCTTCTCAGGAGGCTGAGGCAGGAGAATCACTTGAACCTGGGAGGTGGAGGTTGCGGTGAGCCCAGATCATGCCACCGCACTCCAGCCTGGGTGACAGAGCAAGACTTCGTCTCAAAAAACAAACAAACAAAAAAACCACAACAAAGGCTAATCTCTCCCTGAAATACCCTTATAGACACTGCCAGAAATAATGTTCTACCAGCTATCTGGGTATCTCTTAGGCCAGTCAAGTGGACACATAAAATGAACCATCAGACTCCTTAGCAAATATGATCAGCAAGTAACCAAGTTACTCAGCAGAGGCCTCCGTTTCCCCATCTGTACAACAGGGATCCTAAGACCCACTGCTCCAGACTGTGGAAAGGATTAAATGAAATATGCATGTCACGTGCCTGGCAGTTAGTGGGCATAGAGTATGAAGTAGCTATTATTATTATTGTCATTTTTATTAAATGACAGATCCATTTTCAGTTTGTTCAGACAGTTGAATATATTATAATTTACATCGTGATAACCAACAACTGTTATCCTCAACAGATGCAGATCTGTGGATCCAGCGTAGCATCTGTAGCAGCTGGGACATCATTCCAGGTTTTGGGCCCGGTGTGTTGGCAACAACTGGATCTGAAGATGGCAGTCAGGGTGCTTTGGGGTGGTCTCAGCCTGCTCCGAGTGCTGTGGTGTCTCCTTCCGCAGACGGGCTATGTGCACCCAGATGAGTTCTTCCAGTCCCCTGAGGTGATGGCAGGTAAAACTCCGCATGTGTGGCTGAGACAAGCTGCAGCAGAGTCTGCTTGAGAAGCTGACGGGAGACTTTGTGGGGAGGGAGTAGCATGTCTGGGTAGATGAGTAGTAAATCCACAAGCAGAGCAGCAGCCTCTCTCTCTGGGGTAAGAACTTGGAAGTGGGGACTTCATATCTCCTTCCCGAGTGGTGACACTGACCTTCTGGGTAATGCTAATAAACCACCAGTCTCTTTGATGTATCCCTGCTTGGACCAACAATACAGGTCATTCAGAATGAGAGCTGTGTTGGACTTCCCATGGGAACACTTTTATTAGAGTTAGGCTTCCCCAGTGTTTGGCAAGAGCTTCCATAGGGCTGTGATCTGAGATCATGAAACTTCTCTTCTGTAGATTCAAGAGAGGGGTAAGGGAACCCAGACCTGGGACACTCACTCATCTGTTAGGCGGTGTGGGACACATCATGAGGCTGGTTGCCTGGCCCATACCGTCTCGCCCAAAGGCCTTGAGGCCTTTCAGATGTGATGGGCATGTGGGGTCATCCTCATAGTTCAAGACGGCTGCTTGAGCTCCAGCCATCAAGCCTACAGGCAGTCTTTCCAGCCAACAAAGGAGAAGGGCATTACTTCTCTCTTTAAGGTCATATTTTGAAGGGCGCATGCTTTTTGCTCATTTCTATCACACTGGGCAGAATGTATCATGAGGCCACACCTAGCTGCAAAGGAAGCTAAAAATTATAGTCTTTATATCTGACCAAGTGCCCAGAAAAAGAGTCAAAGGAGTCAGATGCAGTGGCTCACGCCTGTAATCCCAGCACTCTGGGAGGCTGAGGCAGGTGGATCACCTGAGGTCAGGAGTTTGAGACCAGTCTGGCCAAAATGATGAAACCCCATCTCTATTAAAAATACAAAACATTAGCCTGGCATGGTGGCAGGCGCCTGTAATCCCAGCTACTTGGGAGGCTGAGGCAGGAGAATTGCTTGAACCCAGGAGGTGGAGGTTGTAGTGAGCCAAGATTGTGCCACTGCACTTCAGCCTGGGCAACAGAGCGAGACTCCATCTCAAAAAAAGAAAAAAAAAAGTCTAATGAAGGAGGAGGGAATAGATATTTTGGAGGCATCAGCTTTCTTTGCCACAGGGCTCAACAGGTGAATTTGTTTTTTAAGTTAAAAGGCTCATCTTCTTTCCCTCACGTCGTTTTTTAACCAGAAAAGCAGCCAGATAGATTTGATCCTGGATTTTGCTTCCCTTTCAACATCTAACATAGATAGATAAAACAGCTGAAAGTCTGGAGAAATAAGTAGCAGAATCAAAGAGCCCGAATGATCCGCAGGCTGTATGATCAGCTCGAAACAGCCAGCAGGTGATCAAGCAAGAGACGCTGTGAACAATGAGGCTTGGAGTGGAGCTGCTCCCGCGCCCCCACCCCTCAGAGCTCTGGGACGTTGGGGCACAGGGTTACAGAACAGGCAGCAAGTATTTCTTAAATTATGTAAGTACTACTTGGATATATTCTTCTTACAAAAAATTTAAGTATCATAGGCAGGGTGCAGTGGCTCACGCCTGTAATCCCAGCACTTCAGGAGGCTGAGGCGGGTGGATCACCTGAGGTCAGGGGTTCAAGACCATCCTGGCCAACATGGCGAAACCCCATCTCTACTGAAAATACAAAAATCAGCCAGGCACAGTGGCGGGCGCCTGTAGTCCCAGCTACTTGGAGGCTGAGGCAGGAGAATCACTTGAACCCCAGAGGCAGAGGTTGCAGTGAGCCAAGATAGCGCCACTGGACTCTAGCATGCGTGACAGAGTGAGACTCTGTCTAAAAAAAAAAAAATTTAAGTATTGTAAACAAAACTAACATAAATCACCTCTGACATAACCCTGATGGCTCATCACCTACCCCTCTTCTCTCCCCCCATCTCCTGATAACAATCATTATCAGAGATGCGGCTCTGTCAAGCTTGACAGGTGTAAGGACAAGGGTGCTTGTCCTTGGCTTTTGAGATCTTGGAACCCTGAGAAGAGGTTAGGCCTCCCCCACCTGCCCGCCTCCCACACACTCTTCCCAGGACACACTGCCACCTCATCTCCCGGGGAAGCCCCTCCTGCCCTCTGCACTCTGAGCTCCCCTGCACTTGCTTCTGCTGCTCCTGACAAATCCTCAAAATCCTACGAGCAGCTCAAACTGCACCCGTCTGTGAGTTCACAGTTCTGTCCATCAGAAGGGCAGCACGGGCTCTCTGCTCACAAGGTGGACATCAGCGTATGGACTGGGCTGAGTTCTTGTCTGGAAGCTCTCTAATTCTAGCAGAATCTAGTTCATTTCAGCTGTGGAACCTATGGTGCGGCTTCCTTGCTCTTAGCTTTCAGAGGCCACCCACATTCCTAGCCAATGGCCTCTTCCGTCTTGAAGCCAGCAGTGGCATGTCAAATCCTTCTCATGCTTTGAATCTCACTGCCACTTCTGCGTCCAGCTGGTGAAAACTCTGTTATTAAAAGATTGTTGTGATTAGGTCCGGCCCACTGCATAGTCTCCCTATTTTACAGTCAGTGCTCCTGTATAAGTAACCTAATCTCAGGATACAGTCCATCCTGCGGGCCAGGTGCAGTGGCTCAAACCTGTAATCCCAGCACATTAGGAGGCTGTGCTGGAAGAATGGATTGAAGCCAGGAGTCTGAGATCAGCCTGAGTAACATAGCGAGAGCTGTGATCTCGCCACCGCACTCCAGCCTGGGTGACAGAGATGAACGAAGCGAAGGAAGGGGAAGGAAGGGAAGGGAAGGAAGGAAGGGAAGGAAGGGAAGGGAGGGGAGGGAAAGAGAAGTAAAGGGAAGGAAGGGAAGGGAGGGGAGGGGAAGGGAAGGAAGGGAGGGGAGGGGAAGGAAGGGAAGTAAAGGGAAGGAAGGGAAGGGAGGGGAGGGGAAGGGAAGGAAGGGGAAGGAAGGGAAGGAAGGAAGGGAAGGAAGGGAAAGAAGGAGGGAGAGAGGGAGGGAAGGGAGGAAAAATCCAGCCCGTGCACAGTCCCAGGGATTACGCAGGGCACACACACCAAGGGGTGGGAAATGTGGGGTGCCCTCCTAGAATTTTGCCCACTACATCCCTGAGCTTGGTACTGGCTCACCTCTGCCTCTCTCTGCAGAGGACATCCTGGGCGTTCAGGCCGCGCGGCCCTGGGAGTTTTACCCCAGCAGCTCCTGCCGCTCGGTGCTCTTCCCCCTGCTGATCTCTGGTTCCACCTTCTGGCTGCTCAGGCTCTGGGAGGAGCTGGGGCCGTGGCCTGGCCTGGTGAGCGGCTATGCGCTGCTGGTGGGGCCTCGACTCCTCCTCACTGCCCTTTCCTTTGCTCTGGACGGGGCCGTGTACCACCTGGCCCCGCCGATGGGGGCGGATCGCTGGAACGCCCTGGCCCTGCTGTCTGGTTCCTACGTCACCCTGGTCTTCTACACAAGGACCTTCTCCAACACCATTGAGGGACTCCTCTTCACGTGGCTGCTGGTGCTGGTATCCTCCCATGTAACGTGGGGCCCTACACGCAAGGAGCCGGCGCCGGGTCCACGGTGGCGCAGCTGGCTTCTTGGAGGCATTGTGGCTGCTGGCTTCTTCAACCGGCCCACCTTTCTGGCCTTTGCTGTGGTCCCCCTCTACCTCTGGGGCACTCGTGGAGCCACAAACCCTGGTTTGAAGTCTCTGACCCGGGAGGCCCTGGTGCTGCTCCCTGGGGCAGCCCTCACAGCAGCGGTGTTTGTGGCCACGGACAGCTGGTATTTCTCCAGCCCCGCTACATCCAGGAACCTTGTCCTGACACCTGTCAACTTCTTGCACTACAACCTGAATCCCCAAAACCTGGCGAGACATGGCACGCACGCGCGGCTCACTCACCTGGCAGTCAACGGCTTCCTGCTCTTCGGGGTGCTGCATGCCCAGGCCCTGCAGGCTGCGTGGCAACGGCTGCAAGTCGGCCTCCAGGCCTCTGCACAAATGGGCCTCCTGAGGGCACTGGGTGCCCGGAGCCTGCTGTCCAGCCCCAGGTCCTATCTCCTTCTCCTCTACTTCATGCCTCTGGCCCTGCTATCTGCCTTTAGCCACCAGGAGGCTCGGTTCCTGATTCCCCTCCTGGTCCCCCTGGTCCTGCTTTGTAGTCCACAGACGCAGCCTGTGCCTTGGAAGGGCACTGTGGTCCTCTTCAACGCCCTCGGTGCCCTCCTCTTCGGCTGCCTGCATCAGGGGGGCCTGGTGCCTGGCCTGGAGTACCTGGAGCAGGTGGTCCATGCCCCTGTGCTCCCAAGCACACCCACCCACTACACACTCCTCTTCACTCACACCTACATGCCCCCCCGGCACCTCCTACACCTCCCAGGCCTGGGGGCACCAGTGGAGGTGGTGGACATGGGGGGGACTGAGGACTGGGCCCTGTGCCAAACCCTGAAAAGCTTCACCAGACAACCAGCCTGCCAAGTGGCTGGTGGGCCATGGCTCTGCCGCCTCTTTGTGGTAACCCCTGGCACCACCAGGCGTGCCGTGGAGAAGTGCAGCTTCCCCTTCAAGAATGAAACACTTTTATTTCCCCATCTGACCCTGGAGGATCCACCAGCCCTGTCCTCCTTGCTGAGTGGGGCTTGGAGGGACCACCTCAGTCTTCACATTGTGGAGCTGGGGGAAGAAACCTGACAATATGACAGAGCACCCACTGCCCAAGACTCAGCCATAGAAGATGCCGCCCCACCTTCTACTTGGGTAGCTGGGCTGGGACGCTGGGACAGGACCCCGTCCTCCTTCATGACTCCCACTGCTGCCTCTCCTGGGCATGGCTGTTAGCTGTTCTGCCTTCTGGGTGAGCTGGCACTCTTCTCCCTGAGACCAAAGATTTGACCTGTCGGTCTTGATGTCAAGGTCCCCAAAGACCAGGTTAAGTGACGACACCTGTCTGTTCCTGCCCTGTTGCTTCCAGCCACTGTGATGTTTGAAATATGTGATAGTACCTGGTTGTGAAAAAAGACAATGAACTGCTAGTGACATTCCTCAATGACCTCTCCCAAACCTCCCATGATGCCTTACCCTTGCTGTCATGACAACCCTCTGGCTTCCTAAGACCCATCTGCCTATCGAAATATGTGCAAGTCAGTGAGACGAAGTATAGAGAACAGGTGGCCCAGATCCAGGGGACCCAACTTCTGGCCCCTTGGTCTGTCACCTCCTCGCTGTGTGATCTTGAGAAAGCTCCTTCCACTCACCCACCCCACTTCCCAGTCTGTTGGGATCAGAGGAACTTTGAGGTGTCTGCCGGCTAACATTGTGTCATTCCTGGAGTCCACAGTACACGTCCCCTGCCTCAACAGGCACAGCTCTCACAAAGCTCTTCAAGCATGGAAGTGGGAGTTGTGTTGTACTTCATGGCACTCTGATGCCTGCTGTCTCAGTGTTTGGTTATTATGCAAACAAGTAATGTTTGAAATATATAATAGCACTGGAGATTTTCTCCCTACTTTCTTTTACTCCTGTTCCTGAGAGGTGGTGGGAAACTCTCCAGCCATTTCTGCACCTTGTCCTTAAGAGTCATTCTCCTGGCTGGGCATGGTGGCTCACACCTGTAATCTCAGTACTGAGAGGCCAAGGTAGGCAGATCTCGAGGTCAGGAGTTCAAAACCAGCCTGGCCAACATGGTGAAACCCCATCTCTACTAAAAATATAAAAATTAGCCAGGCGTGGTGGCACGCACCTGTAATCCCAGCTACTCAGGAGGCTGAGGCAGGAGAATTGCTTGAACCCAGGAGGCAGAGGTTGCAGTGAACCGAGAGCCACTGCATTCCAGCCTGGGAGACAGAGCAAGACTCCGTCTTGGGGGAAAAAAAAAAAAAGGGGGTCATTTTCCCAGATTAGGGAGCCAGGTGTTCTTCCTCCTTAGAACTGTGGGTCTCAAGCCCTCCCATCCTGCCCCAGAGGGCAGAGAACACACAACACTCAGCTAGTGTCTGGTTACCAGCCTCAATTTTTCCGATGGCTTCAAGCTTTCTAGATTGCATGATTAACTGTGCTGCCTAACTAGAAATGATCAGAGCTGGGTGTGGTGGCTCACACCAGTAATCCCAGCACTTTGGGAGGCGGAAGCAGGAGAACTGCTTGAGGCCAGGAGTTCAAGACCAGCCTGGGCAACAAAGTGCAATGCCATTTCAACCAAAAACAAAACAAAACAAAATTGTGGCTGGGCGCGGTGGCTCACACCTGTAACCCCAGCACTTTGGGAGGCCGAGGTGGGCAGATCACAAGGTCAGGAGATCGAGACCATCCTGGCCAACGTGGTGAAACTCCGTTTCTACTAAAATACAAAAAATTAGCCAGGCATGGTGGCACGCACCTGTAGTCCCAGCTGCTCAGGAGGATGAGGCAGGGGAATCACTTGAACCCGGGAGGTGGAGGTTGCAGTGAGCCGAGATCGCACCACTGCACTCCAGCCTGGTGACAGAGTAAGGCTCCGTCTCAAAAAAACAAAAAAAACAGAAAAAAAGTTTTTAATTAGCTGGGCATAGTGTCATGGGCCCGTAATCCCAGCTACTTGGGAGTCCCAGGGAGGAAGATCGCTTGGCCCAACGGGTCGAGGTTGCAGTGACAGCTAGTATTGTGCCACTGCACTCCAGCCTGGGCAAGAGTTAGGTCCTGTCTCAAAAAAAAAATCAGAAATTTAGCTAGGAGCTTCAAATGACAGGACATTTCTATATACAATGGATTTCCTAATCGCAGGTCTGCTAACTGGCTGGATCGTAGTCTGTCTGTATCCCTGACCCTCTAAAATGAGGGGTAGTGAAGGGGTGGGTTGCCCCTCCACACCTGTGGGTGTTTCTCGTTAGGTGGAAGGAGAGACTTGGAAAAGAAAGAGACACAAAGTATAGAGAAAGAAAAAAGGGAGCCCAGGGGGCCGGCATTCAGCAGACGAGGATCCCGCCGGCCTCTGAGTTCCCTTAGTATTTATTCATCATTCTTGGGTGTTTCTCGGAGAGGGGGATGTGTCAGGGTCATAAGATAATAGTGGAGAGAAGGTCAGCAGATAAACACGTGAACAAAGGTCTCTGTGTCATAGACAAGGTAAAGAACTAAGTGCTGTGCTTTAGATATGCATACACATAAACATCTCAATGCCTTACAGAGCAGTATTGCTGCCCCCATGTCCCACCTCCAGCCCTAAGGCGGTTTTCCCCTAACTCAGTAGATGGAACATACAATCGGGTTTTACACCATTGCCCAGGGACGGGCAGGAGACAGATGCCTTCCTCTTGTTTCAACGGCAAAGAGGCGTTCCTTCTTCTTTCACTAATCCTTCTCAGCACAGACCCTTTACGGGTGTCACGCTGTGAGGGACGGTCAGGTCTTTCCCTTCCCACGAGGCCATATTTCAGACTATCACATGGGGAGAAACCTTGGACAATACCTGGCTTTCCTAGGCAGAGGTCCCTGTGGGCTTCCGCAGTGTTTGTGTCCCTCGGTACTTGAGATTAGGGAGTGGTGATGACTCTTAACGAGCATGCTGCCTTCAAGCATCTGTTTAACAAAGCACATCTTGCACCGCCCTTAATCCATTTAACCCTGAGTGGACACAGCACATGTTTCAGAGAGCAGGGGGTTGGGGGTGGGGTTACAGATTAACAGCATCTCAAGGCAGAAGAATTTTTCTCAGTACAGAACAAAATGGAGTCTCCTATGTCTACTTCTTTCTACACAGACACAGTAACAATCTGATCTCTCTTTTCCCCACAGGATAGGAGTCCAGGTAACTTGTTCCATGGCAGGCAGTAGTCTTTTTTTTTTTTTTTTTTTTTTTTGAGAAAGGTTCTCGCTATGCTACCCAGGCTGGTCTCATCTCAGGCTCATGCGATCCTCCTGCCTCTGCAGTGGCTGGGATAAGACACAACTGCCACCAGGCCCTGCCCCTAGGCAGTAGTCTTAATGCCTGATGGTGGGGGGTTGGGGAAGGAAGGGGTTGAGTATCAGGGTAAATGCTGCAGAGCTGTGTTAAGGACTTAGGCCCTGGAGTCAAATGCCTCTGCTCACATCCCACTCTGCAAGACTTTGGGCAACTTAAGCAGCAGCCTCTGTTTCCATCGCAGTGGCTCTTGCCTATAATCCCAGCACTTTGGGAGGCTGAGGCGGGAGGATCACTTGCGCCCAAGAGTTCGAGACCACCCCATCTCTACAAAAAAATCCAAAAAGTAATCTGCTTCCTCATGTGAATGTCGTTGTAAGGAGTGAGATAACACATAGAGTGCAATGAGCAAGTCCCAGCACAGAAGACTCATTTCATAAAATACGTGTTTATTATTACCATAGGCCTACAGTCCCCGGTATTCTTAACACATCTTGCCTGAGAAGTATCACACTCATGCCTATCAACCAGCTCACACATTTAATCAAAGGAATTTGGCAGCTGTAGGGTTGTCTTTTCATCCATATCGTCCCTGGAATTAACTGTCCTGCTATACCAGTCAGATTGAGCAGCATCTGTCAAGAGTTTCAGTCCCACTTGCAGAGGAAAGGCTCTCTGGCTTCGGTCCGTGGCTCTCCGTAGGTGCCGTGTCTGGACCCAGCCTACCTTCATCTCTGTTAGGCTTAGGGCTGTCTCCACACTGTGTCTTGTCCAATCACAAGACTTCAACGGAGCGGGCGGTCTGGCCTAGGCTCTTATGCGTGGGATGTCTGCAGGCCAACAATCCCAGTCGGGATTCGAAGCCGCGCGCAGTGCCCGGAATGACCCCTCCACATTGATGCCACTGTAGAGCCCGGAAGGAAAAGCAAGCGGCCTCGGCCCCGCACAGCCCAGGATTAAATGTTTGCGCCAGGGCCCCTCTGGCTACCTGGTGGTGGCCCCGAGCGGCCTCGGAGGCCGCGGCGTAGCTCCTGGGTGAAGGCGTCTCTAAATCGCTCAGCGCGGCGGCACAGGGAGCCCACGGGCCCAGCCGCGAGGTCCTGCAGGCGGCGGGCCGCGTCCTGGCCCCGCAGCTGGGCCTGCAGCAGTGCGAAGGCCGTGAGCTGCGCCGCACGTCGGATAGGCCGCGACTCTGACAGACGTTCCACCAGCTGCGGGCTGTGCAGCAGGGCGGCCAGCAGCCGCCGCAGCACCATCTTCTCCAAGCGCCCGGAACCCGACCTCGCCGCCCTCGTCTTCCGCCCCGCGGCGCCCGACCCGGACGTCTATGCCCCCGCGCAGCTTGATGACGACACGCCGCCCTCGGATTGGGTCCAATGAGATGCTCGCCTCCGCGCGTTTCCGCTTCCGCCATCGCGGACGCAGCCTCGTGCCGGGAGTCGCCGCATTGTGGTCCGCTTCTCTGCACTATGTCGGGTGGCCTCCTGAAGGCGCTGCGCAGCGACTCCTACGTGGAGCTGAGCCAGTACCGGGACCAGCACTTCCGGGTGAGGGAGGCCGGGCCGCGAGACGGGAAGGCCCTGGGCAAGAACGCTGAGAAACGGTTTGCTCTTGTCTCATTGTGTCGCCTCCCATTCAGCTGAAATCCGCAAACGCCAAGTGGGGCCCCGGTGCCTGCTGGCGAGGCAGGGAATGGGTGCTGGAAGGGCGCTTGGATATCACTGAAGCCACTTGCTCTGGAAGACGGGGAACTGGAGGCTCGCTTATCCCATTCGCTCGCAGCCGCTCCCTGTACCCCAGCCAGTGCCGAGAGGTTTGAGCGGTGGTGGTGGTGGCGGCTCCCGTTTCCACGGTTGTGCCTCCGCAGACGACTACGTAGCAAGGGGGAGGGGTGCCCTTCTCTCTCCCAGAGTAGGCAGAGGCGCCTTCCTGATGCAGATGCGGGGCTTTTTGCTTTGTTTTTTAAATCGGCGAAGCAGTGCCCTTCGGCGATTCGGGCCCCTTCTCTGGGAGGATGGTGTTACGGAAGCTGTACGCGGTGCGTGGGAGACACAAGTGGAGTCCTCACTCCGCCCTCGGGGAAGCTTCGGAGTGGGGAGGTGGACCCGCCAAGCTCGGCACTTTGAGGGTGTTCGGATGTAAAGATCGGAGAATTGCTGGATTTCAGAAGAGGGAAATTTTTAGTCCGGACTATATCACAGTATATTTTGTGGAAAAAGGGGAGGCAGCAGATATTCAAAGTAGACTTTTCAGTATCAGCGGAGGTAGGGATGGAATACGGTTGGGGGTTGGCGGGGCGGGACTCATTAACCCAATTATTTAGTAAACGTTTATCGAGTGCTGTCGCCAAATCCTTGTGCTAAACCCTAGAGGGAGAGGGAAGACAGTTTCTGCGCTCTGCGAGCTCATAATCCCCTGTAGTGAGGATTCAGAAAAGGGAAAAATCCCCTTGTGACTGGGAAAGGAAGGGGCGCATATAGCAGAGGGTAAGTGTGGAGAATGTGTGAAATGTGTTACTAGAGTAGGGAAAGGGAAATTTTGTTTGACGCTAAATTAGGGAAGCTCTTAGATTTATTTAGTCAAGGCTGGGAACGGTGGCTCACGCCTGTAATCCCAGCACTTTGGGAGGCTGAGGCGGGTGGATCACGAGGTTAGGAGTTCAAGACTAGCCTGGCCAAGATGGTGAAACCCCGTCTTACTAAAAATACAAAAATTAGGCGGGCGTGGTGGCAGGCGCTTGTAATCCCAGCTATTCGGGAGGCTGAGGCAGGAGAATCGCTTGAACCGGGGAGGTGGAGGTTGCTGTGAGATCGCGCCACTGCACTCCAGCCTGGGCAACAGAGCGATATTCCTTCTCAAAAAAAAAAAATTTATTCAGTTAATGTATTTTATTTTTTGAGACAGAGTCTCGCTTTATTGCCTAGGCTGAAGTGCAGTGGCGCAATCACGGCTCACGCAGCCTCAACCTCCTGAGCCTAAGTGATCCTACCCACCTCAGCCTCCTGAGAAGCTGGGACCACAGGCTCGCGCCACCACATCCAGCTAATTTTTTGTAGAGACAGGGTCTCCCTGTGTTGCTCAGGCCAGTCTCGAACTCTGGGACTCAAGCGATCCACCTGCCTGGGGCTTCCCAAAGTGCTGGGATGCCTAAGTGCCAGGCATGATTTGCACTTCTACCACTTTTAGTTACTACTTTAGACAGTTCCACATCCTGACCATTTTGAACTTAAAGCATCCTGTGAGATGAAAACTGGAACCTTCTGACTTTGTCTATTATTCATCTCCTCAGTCTAAACCTGTAGCTTTTTTTAGATGCTAATGCCATACTGTCATGTGGAATTTCTAGCATTCTGTGAATGGAATCCATATTAATATACTTTAAGCACTTACACCACAGTTATCTTAAACTGTAGGCTATTTATTTGGATCTTACTTACATGTGTGAGAAAAGTAGAAAAAGAAGATGCCTCCTTTCCATGTTCACAAATCAGTAACAGCAGTAAAATGAAAGGAATTTACTTTCTCTAATGTCTCACTCCAAAGTTCCGAAAACCTCTTTTTAACATACAATGACTATTGTCCTGTGGACTTTTTTTTTTTGAGATAGAGTTTCACTCTTGTTGTCCAGGCTCAAGTGCAGTGGTGCAATCTCAGCTCCCTGCAACCTCCACCTCCCAGGTTCAAGCGATTCTCCTGCTTCAGCCTCCCGAGTAGCTGGGATTACAGGCGCCCGCTGCTACCATGCCCAGCTAATTTTTGTATTTTTAGTAGAGACAGGGTTTCATTCACTATGTTAGCCAGGCTGGTCTCAAACTCTTGACCTCAGGCGATCCACTCGCCTCAGCCTCCCAAAGTGCTGGGATTACAGGCATGAGCCACCGCGCCTGACCCCGATGAGCCATTTTGGACCCAGGGCTTTGTCTGTCAGGTGTGTTGGATGAAGCCCAGTTATATGCTTAAGTCTCTGGCTTCATCCTGTCATCCCAATTTGGAAGCCCATTAAGAAAGTGAGCTCTGTTTTGTTTTTAGTGATCACTACATTTTCCCCTAAACTCAGAGAAAGATCTATGAGCACGTAAAGCATCAAGGTTGTGGCTTTCAACAGTCTCTAGGGGGTTATTAAAGAGGAACTCTCTCTCTCTCTGAAAACCCACTTATTTTTCACTACGAAGGATAAAAGGGCCCTTTGTCATATATTGGGTCAAGGTCCAGAGTCTACACTTGGGTTTAAAGGATGCACTGCTGAGGATATGGTGTGTGCAGGGAAAAGGGAAGCCGCTTGCGTGGCAGTCGGGCGTAGAAGTGACTTTGTTGTATGTGGTATAACTTTTGAGCCCTGTCTCTACTAAGAGTCTGGACTTCGCATAAGTGCTTCACAGAAGGTCGACATCCCCCTTTTTGGGCAAGGGATTTCTGGTAGGCTGGGATGAGAGAAGTTGATTTCCAAACCAGAATTAATGAATGTCTCTACCGTACTTAGAAATACTATTTAAGCAAGGCTCTGAAGTTGCTTAACTTTTGTCTCTATTTGAAATTCTAGGGTGACAATGAAGAACAAGAAAAATTACTGAAGAAAAGCTGTACGTTATATGTTGGAAATCTTTCTTTTTACACAACTGAAGAACAAATCTATGAACTCTTCAGCAAAAGTGGTGACATAAAGAAAATCATTATGGGTCTGGATAAAATGAAGAAAACAGCATGTGGATTCTGTTTTGTGGAGTATCCTTCCCATGGATCTAATGTAGCTGCTGAACCAGGGTAGAGCTGAGAGTGGTAGCTCATAAGCGTCCCTGCACTCGTCCCTACGTTTTCCTTCATCTCCCTCCTACTTTCCACCCAGTGTGTCTCTGCCCTTATACTGTAAAGCTGATACTATTTATATTCTCTTCTGAAATCCATGCTTTATGGTTCTTTAACAAAAAGTTTTTCAAGAATGTTTGCCCTTCACGTAAAAAAAAAAAAATTCCAAAGAATGTAGTGAAAATATAAAAATCTCGTACTGTTCTAAACCCCTAATGCCCTTTGCCAGAGGCAGTCAGTTACCAGTTTCTTGGGCGTCTTTCAAGAAGTAACCCTGTGGGTGTGCGGTAGTGTATTTCATGTGCTGTTTTTAAAATCATTTTTTTATTTTTTATTGTTCCATTTCAGCATATGTAGGTCTTTTTTTAAAATAGCTGTACAGCTGGGCATGGTGGCTGGTGTTTGTAGTGCCAGCTGCTCAGGAAGCTGAGGCAGGAGGATCAGTTGAGCCCAAGATTTCAAGGCTGCACTGAGTTGTGACTGTGTTCCAGCGGGGGTGACGGGTTAAGACCCCATCTTTAAAGAAAAAAACTTTTAAGTAAATAGCTGTATAGTATTTCATTATATAGATGTATATAACCTGACTGTATAGGTACAAACCAAAACTATTTACTTTGATCATTTAATTCCCTTACTCAGACTCTTTTAAGTATTGGACCTCTTGGATTTATCCTATGTTCTTTTTACTGTATGTTTTGGTCATTCAATTTAATATTCTGAGAAATTTTGCAGGCCCAATTTAATATATCTTTTGAATTTTTTCCTGTGCCCTGAATTATGTTTGTTTCGGTTGAAATTTTTCCTTAAGTGTCTGGTGATCCCTGGATTTCTGCTCATAATTAAGGAAAAGAATGCTGACTCACTGGACCCAGGCAGGGCTTCTCTCCCAGATTGCAGGCTTGCCTCGGGGATACACAGGTTTCCCAAATGCTAGAATGAAAAGAGATTTTATTTTGGCTTGCTAACATCAAAGATACTAGTTTCTCCAGATGGTTTATTCAGAACACTGTTGTCTTATTTTTATTTGTCTGAGATTAAATGTCTTCCCCTTTAATTAAAGGGAGGTCTCTGATGAAGTAGGTTTGGGAACTGCTACCTTGGTGACAGCTTGAGTCTTTCCTTTAGTGAAGTGCAGCACAATTCCACGTGCACGGTGACCTTCTCTTGATTAGGGTGCCTTGGAATGTACAGAACCTAACTTGAATATACAGCACTGGTTTCTTGGATAAGAAGTGTACAGTGATCTAAACTTGCAAACCAAAATACAGAGATGATGGGACCAAAAATTATCAACAGGAATGTCCAAGAAATATGATCAGTGTAGCCATGGATACGTGTCATATTTGACTCTATGTGCTTCCAAACCAATCGCAAACAGGCCTGGGCAAGCTGAATTACTGTCTTTGAACTCCATCTGGTTGGATTAGCTCTTGTACTTTTTAACAACTCAGCTTCATTTACATGTTGTTCCCCTATTTCCAGAAATGTTTGGAAAAATGCTAGTGTTCCTTAATACTTAAGATATTACTCACGCGCAGATGCGGAAAACGCCATGCGGTACATAAATGGGACGCGTCTGGATGACCGAATCATTCGCACAGACTGGGACGCAGGCTTTAAGGAGGGCAGGCAATACGGCCGTGGGCGATCTGGGGGCCAGGTATGCAAGAAGGGTCTCTGGGCTCAGCCATTGCCTGGGATTCCAGTCACAATGACAGGTGTTTTGGCAATTTGTATTTACTCTTTTGTAAATAACTTTGTGTCTATAACCTTGGCTTGAAGTGGATCTGAAAACCACCCAACGGTTTGGGTGAATTTTTTTTTTAAACCGTGAAATGGTATGTTCTGTACGTTTCTAACAAGCAACCATTCTTGAACTTCTGCTAGGGCTAGGTATCTTCCACCTGCAGGAACATCTAAAATGAAAGCAAAACGCACTGAAGTGAGCTGAAGTGCATATGTCCTGCTTGAAATGTTCACATTGTGGCATCTGAACAGGTTTCACTGTTTGTCTAACATGTTTGTGGGAGGCATATTTGTTACACCATTCTTTTCCATACTGTAACTCTGGATTCTTTCCATTAAAGGTTCGGGATGAGTATCGGCAGGACTACGATGCTGGGAGAGGAGGCTATGGAAAACTGGCACAGAACCAGTGAGTGGTGAGAGCTCTGTCAGTGACAAACACTCCTTTGGCCTGTTGAATTTGCTGAAGAACATCACCTAAAGTCTGCACACGAGCCCATTTTTACCAAGATTTGATCAGTGTCTTTACTGAGCTGGAAGCCTCTGAAAGTTATTAAAGGACAGAATCCAAAAGAATGCCTTTAATTCTTGTCTGAGAATCTTGGCCATGTGTCAGATTATCAGAACAATTTTGTTACCAGGTCAGAAATTGTGTTCTTTGACAACAGATTGGATCTGTAATGTTGATTAGTCTTTAGCCATAACCACTACACTTTTAGAAAGACAGAAAAATGTAAGAATTTGTTTTTACCATAATGAGTCTTAAGTAGGTTCATGATCTACATTGGGGCCTGGGATTATTTTTTTAATTTTAAGTTTGCATGAGATAGCCTAATAAATGGAGGTGGGGCCAGGCATGGTGGCTCACACGTGTAATCCCAACACTTTGGGAGGCTGAGGAGGAAGGATAGCTTGAGGCCAGGAGTTTGAGACTAGACTGGGCAACATAGCAAGACCCCGTCTCTACAAAGCACAACGAAAAACAACAAATGGAGTTGTGCTATGTTGTATTGCTTTGCACAAAATTAGGAACAGGTGTTTGACAATTGAATTTGTTTTCTGTGAATTCTAACCTCTAAAGGCATGCTTAGAGGTCAAGGACCTTCCTGTGTAGTTGGTGCAAAAGCAATCTCCACAGGACAGCACTGCTTCCATGCTTCATACATCAGGAAATGAGGCCAGAACTTGAGTATTTACTAACACGTTTTTCAAAAGATGTCAGTGTTATACCTAAAGCTAAAAAAAAGCAAGGGTTTGTCATAGAGGGAACCTCTAAATAATTTCAGGGGTAGGGGAGATGTTGTCAATAGGAAATGGGATAAAATATCAAGAGACAATGAAAACACTGCCTTGACATGAGGACCAGCAAGTTTATTCTTTTCATTTTCAGTGATGTTGGGAATGGACTGGGTTTTAAAAGGGAGCTTGAAGAGGGAATGTTTGACAGTCACAGAAGGTTCCTGCAGCAGATGCCTCTTTTAGCCATTTCTCATTTTTTTCCTCAAATTTTACCTACTGAGGCTCAAGCCTTCACAGTGAGCTGATGGTCTCTACAGGGAGGGGAGTCTAGGGAATTTATTTGGTATTTGTAAGGCAAGAGGTGATTTCTCTCTAATATATCTGAGTTATTGCTCATTTAAAACTGTTAAGTCCAGTATAATTTTCCCTGATATGAAAAAATGTGCATTTTTTTCACTTAGCAACAAAGTACCTTCTAATTTCCAATAGTCCGTGAAAGTTGGGGCTGAAGTACCTAAGTGTGAATGTCTCTCCCGTTAAACTGAGTGTAGAAATCTGAATTTTTAAAAGAGCTGTAACTAGTTGTAAGTGCTTAGGAAGAAACTTTGCAAACATTTAATGAGGATACACTGTTCATTTTTAAAATTCCTTCACACTGTAATTTAATGTGTTTTATATTCTTTTGTAGTAAAACAACATAACTCAGATTTCTACAGGAGACAGTGGTTTTATTCGGATTGTCTTCTGTAATAGGTTTCAATAAAGCTGGATGAACTTATCGTTGTTGCTGCCTGTTTCCTGGCCTATAAAGAGGGTTGTGTTCTGGAATTCCTGTACTCTGGATACACATGAATGAGTTCCAGGGGGATTCTATGAATAGTGTGGACAATTCGCGTGTCCATTTTGATTGACTGACAGTTGGAAATAACTATTGCTGCGTGTGAAGAGAGCGCACAGATTTTCTTGTGAAAGTGATCAAATAGGCACCAAGCAACCTCTACTGATGGAAGAATAGGTTAGTTTTCCAAAAAACATGCTCTGGATGATTGCAAGGGAAGGGAAATTGTGGGTGGATTAAGAACATCTTATGTTTCCTGGGCTAGAGAACACTAAATGTGAGTCTCTTTACTGCACCATTCTTTCCTATTTCTCATGGATAGCATCTGACCTGTTTCTCACTTTAATCGGAGAAAAGTGAAAATTCAAACGTACAGATGAAGGCATCACTATTAATACATGTTAGTGAAGTGTGAGAATTAAACATTCAGTTTCTCAGTCAAGCTAAGATGAAGATATAGAACATTTCCGTTGTAGAAAATTCGAGTGATGGTGCTGCTGCTCTGAGGGTGAGCTGGTTAGGGCCTGCACTGCTCACTGTTCTGAAATGACCTCTGTCGTGACTGGAATGTCACAAGAAAAAAATTACTCCTCGCCAAACAGTACATGTTACTCAAGACGAGAGAACACAAGTTTATAAAGGCATTTAGTTTATTTTTCAAAAAAATACTTTGCTAGAAGGGTTGAGTACTGTAATTTTACATGATCATAATCTCTAAATAAATTCTTTTTCTGACCAACAGGTACCAGTTAAGTGAACAGCTCGTCTAGGTCTGCTTTTGTAACACCCAAATACAATTAGCACTTCTCTGCTGGTATTCCCTGGGCCGTCTTAATTATCTAGAGGCCAGGAGGCAAAGCCTAGCACGTAACAAAGTATGTGCTTTGTAACTGCTGATTAATTCAGTTTCTTAACTAGGCAGAGCAGGTCATCAGTGTATCTAATTCACACTATTAATACACTGTCTTGCTGAAGAGTCTGACCTGCCCAGAACCCCGTTATGGCTAGCCCAGGGAAGCAGTAAACTGCAAAGCAGAGAAAAGGGGCAGCTAAGATGAGGCTAGTGCTGGCTGAGTCCCAGTTAGGTCTGTTACTGTTCTGTTCCAACTATAAATCCAGGATGACTGTTACTCAGATTCAGTGCTATGTAGAAAATAGAATGCACAGCCAAAAACATAATTTGGGGATGACTGGCAGCACCTTTTTTTCCCTTTCTTAAGAGGCTAACTGAAAGTTGATTAGGATTCTTGAGAGAACGTAACTAAAAGTTGAATCAAATCTATATTCACTGCTATAGATTTAATAAAAGGAAAGACCACTGTAAAGATGCAACTACAACCTGATGCGTCTGCTGAGGAGAGGACTGGGCAGCTTGTTGAAGGCTCGTCAAAAGTAGCGCTTAGTTATCACAAGGCCTGCACTCAACCTCAAAAGCGTAAGGTTTAGGCCAGGCACGGTAGCTCATGCCTGTAATCCCAGCACTTTGTGAGGCAGAGGCGGGTGGATCACCTGAGGTCAGGAGTTCCGAGACCAGCCTGACCAACATGGCAAAACCCTGTCTCTACTAAAAATACAAAAATTAGCTGGGAGTGGTGGCGCACACCTGTAGTCCCAGCTATTGGGGAAGCTGAGGCAGGAGAATCACTTGAACCTGGGAGGCAGGGGTTGCAGTGAGCCGAGATCACATCACTGCACTCCAGCCTGGGCAACAGAGCAAGACTCCGTCTCAAAAAAAAAAAGCATAAGGTCTGCCTACCTCATGGGCACCCAAACAGTTCAGTGCCAAACTAGTACCAGTAAAGCCATGCCTGCCTCTTTCACCAACAGTCCAGAGTATATTTCAAAAATATCTTTATTAACCAAGGAAGCAATTACTGCAAACATCAGGACAAAGGACATTCTAATCTAGGACTTGAGTTAAATAGAGGTTTACACCTAATCACAAGAAGAGAGGGAAAGCAATTACGTGTGCTGAAACCAAGTTTCATCAATGACAAATATTTTAAAATGACTTTTAAAATACTTAACATTGGCCAGGCACGGTGGCTCCCGCCTGTAATCCCAGCACTTTGGGAGGCCCAGGCGGGCAGATCACTTGAGGTCAGGAGTTCAAGACCAGCCTGGCCAACATGGTGAAATCCTGTCTCTACTAAAAGTACAAAAATCGGTGGGGCGTGGTGGCACACACCTGTAATCCCAGCTACTTGGGAGGCTGAGGCAGGAGAATCGCTTGAACCTGGGAGGTGGAGGTTGCAGTGAGGCAAGATTGCGCCATTGCACTCCAGCCTGAGGGACAGTGAGACTCTGACTCAAAAAAAAAAAAAAACAAAAAACCCAAACTCAACATTTAGTCTAAGCCACACTGGGCAGCACACCTCAAGGTGCCCTATGAAGCATGAGACTGGAAGTGGAAGAGTCACTGGATTTGGGCAGCTCTCTCTCGGCGTTGATTTTCTTACAGGAACAATTCTGTCTCTTCTGCATGCCAGGTTCTGTCACTGAGGAACTGAAACACTTCCTCACTCTGAAGTACAAGACATTTTGAACTGACAGCCCAGTGACTGGCTACTTTGGTATACCACACCCCCACAAAAAAAAAAAAAAAAAAAAAAAAAAAATCAGAGGCAAATTTCTGGCATGTTTTGAAAAATCTCATGTTTGCATAATTATGTTTGAAAAACTCATTATGAGATCTTCCTTACCCTAAACTGTCATTTTTTCCTAACGCTGACAGAACCCCACCTATAGCAGCATAAAGTGCCTCTACTCTCAGTCTTTTTAACGACTTGAAACACAGTAAGAAACACTGACCTGGTTTGACATTAAGGATTTTGGGTCTGGAGGACTCAGGAGAGGAAAGTGCTGGGGCTGCTTCCCAGTGTCACCACTGGTGTTGGGAACCCTGCATGTAAACATGGTCGGACTCAATCCTCAACTGCTGGCAGTCAGCCTTCTCAACCATACCTCAGGGCCAAGTGAAACTAAACATTTTAGCTTTTTCAACACTCCAAACCTACGCGGGCATAAACTCGAGAATCTTCTGCCATTTACTTTGTTTTTCTATTCAGACTTCTGAGTTTCTCATACATACATTGGTTGGTTTTCCTCCCAATTCAGAAAGGGTAACTGGGTAGGTTTCACATGTATCTTTCCAACATGTCACGAAAGGCTGGATTAAAGATGTGAGACGCGTGATATTCATCCTAATGCAGCTAAGTGTATGGACAAGGGCCACTTGGCCTTTCTTCAGAAGATGAGGTTCAACAGAAGGAGAAGAACAGCTGTGCTAGTGTCAGCACTGGCCATGCAGAAGCCAGACGTACCCTGCATGTTACTGAGGTCACTAATGGGACAGGAGAAAGAACCTGACACGGTTGCTGCGCTCCCATGGGACTAAGTTGTCTCTATTACCTTCCCTCTTCTCTCCAGCCACCTGCAAAACATCTCAAGTCAGTCAGCCTTCAGTTTTGAATGTTTACGTTTCAGATACCCTTGAAATAGAAATGCATTTGGTAAACCTTAACTTCTTCCAATTGGGAGGCAACACAGGGAAATGACAACTTAAAAATTACTCTGAGAACAGCTGCATTCTCATTTGTTTGACCACTAGTTTGATGGATGTTAAGATTTTTTTAACAGGTCGAAAACAGAAAAATTCAGGGAATTCAATATCCCAGCAAAAGCCTTTATGAGATGTATGCCACGTATTATAATTCCTAAAACCACGATTGAAATCTGTCATTGTTACTGGCCTCCAAGGTTGCTTTTTCTCACACCTTACTCCTCCCAAAGCAGCCACTGTGCTTACAAGTGTGCCTCCAGAAACAGAAGACACCAGTCAGTTTACGACCACTTCCATCTCACCCTTCAAAAGGAATGGACTGCACTCTCTAAGACTCACTTGGAGAGGGAAGTTGGTGAAAGTTGCCGCTGGTAAAGTAAAACAGGACTGGATTTGTCAAAACCACCCCCAGCTACCCTTAATGCCCCAGGGAACACTTACTATTCTCAGAGTTATGTTGTATCAAAAACATCTTGCATTTTTAGGTTCTGGGAGTAAATTTGAAACCTGTATTCAGTTCACGTCTAACTAAGTTTCAAAAGCTGCACCAAATCTACTAAGCTTTTTTTTTTAATACTCTTCACTGCATGCTCTGTCTATATGCATGCGTTTGAATAATAAATATTAAATATGGGGGACGCACAGAACCATAAAATTAAAAATGAAACCAAACTGAACATTAAACAATAGTACATGGTAGCTGGAGAAATGAATAAGGGCAAAAAATAAATTTGAGGTAACAATAGTGGCCCAACACCACTGATCTGAAATATCTGTAAAAATTCAACTAAGTGTTTGGAGATTCAAGTAACAAACCATCTGCTCCAACTTGGTCAGACTTCCCAGAGTCCCTGCTGAGTTTCAGTCCATGAGCCGGCACTCACATAGCTCCTTGTAAATCCTCTTCCGCACTCGGGGCATGTCTTCTTGTGAAAACTGGAAAGGCTGCTCTAAGGCGAGGCACTTGCAGTACTGCAAAAAAAAAGGTCCCAGAAACACTTCAGTGGCACTTGGAGTTGTGGACCAGCCCATTCTGTTTTACTAAATGCAGACCTAATAGTGTCTAAGGCAGAAGACCCCAACCTTTTTGGCACCAGGGACTGGTTACGTGTAAGGCAATTTTTCCACAGACTTGGGGGAGAGGGGGTTGGTTTCAGGATGAATTATCAGGCATTAGTTAGATTCTCATAAGGGGTGAGCAACCTAGATCCCTCGCATCTGCAGTTCACAACAGGGTTCACACTCCTAAGAGAACCTAATGTGGACAGTATCTGTCCGTGGCCCAGGGGTTTGGGACCCCGATCTAAGGCAGCATTTTCATGTCTGTTTAAACTACTGTAAAAATACACTGTTTTAAGCATTTACCCAAATTATAGGTGACTGACCAAGCTAGTGCATGGCTTGGGATCTCCTCTCCCTCCTGACCCAATACTGTGAAAAGCAGCAACTGATGAAAAGGCCTCAATTCCTCCCAAAGTGCAACCTGCTGGAGTGCAGCTAGACCCATCATGGCCCTTAATGGGAACTTGAATTTGTTTATAAAACCCCAAACATGCATGAGGTATACAAACGAACCGGTCTTCCAAGATCTTTGCAAATCTCTAAATTCATGCATCATATTCTGTAATTTCCAACATAAATATATGTATAACTGAATTTTTTTCCATAGCCCTTTTCGATCTCTAAGGAGATCTACAGCACAAGATGGCAGTTTCTCAACGTGGACCTTATTTAAAATCTAATCACTGTGTCAAAGACCTGCAGATTGCTTGCCAATGTTTTTTTTTTTTTTTTTTTATGCAAATGCCAATGGTTATGATATGGACAAATTCAAGTCAGTCTCCAATGTGGCTTACTAATAACCTCCAGTGAGACATGGATGACACCCACACTTCACTCTTGATCCCTGGAAGGTGGTTCTTCCTAATGATAACATCTGAACATGCAGAAACTACTGCTCCTCAGCAATAAAGGGGAGGGAAAGTACTCCGTTGCTCGTACCTAGCATCATATACACATACAGGAACTGCCATCTCTCCCCTCTCAACCCAACAGACTCAATTCACACATTGTAAGTTCCGAAAAGCAAGTGTTTCTTTACCTGGAGCACAAAGACTCCACAGTCACTGTCGTTTTTCTGTTGTGGAATACACTGAAGGGAAAAACAAAATAGTCATTAAAACAAGATCCATTACTTCTCTTCAGATAAGAAAAACTCCTTTATGGAAAAATGCGCAAAAGATAGGAAACTTTTCTCTCTCCAGGACAGCTGGTATATCTGATATCTCAAGCATCTAATTTTATGGAGGCACCTGGCCACATAAAAAGAGCTATCAGGTGGCAACCCCAATTTATAGGACAATGTTTTACCTAAATATGAGAAATGGGAAATCAAATGTAAAAACCTGTTTTAAAACATGCATTTGGATACTGAGCTCTGCTATCAATTCATTGACAGTGGAGTCAAAATGGAACTGTGCCTGGGAGAACAAAGGCCCAGCCTCTGGATGCTAGGATGGCGACAACTCCGCTGAGCAGTCTTCACTTCTGATCTCACATCACACGACCCTGTCCTATTCTTTGAAAGAAATCGTGAAGGTAAACAGTATGGTTTTTGTTTTGGGTTTTTCGCGACAGGGTCTCACTCTGTCGCCCAGGCTGGAGTGCAGTGGCACGATCTCAGTCTCCTGAGTTCAAGCAATCCTCCCACCTCAGCATCCCAAGTAGCTGGGACTACGCCTGGCTAATTTTATTATTTGTAGAGATGAGGTCTCACCATGTTGCCCAGGCTGGTCTTGAACTCCTAGACTCACGCAATCCACGCACCTTTGCCTCCCAAAGTGCTGGGATTACAGGTGTGAGCCACTGTGCCCGGCCAACAGTATGTTTTTAAAAGAACTGGTTACTGTATTCTGCTCAAAGCGGTAATACAGAAGATCCTGACTAAATTTAGAATACCCAGATTTTTTAGTTGGGTAAATTCAGGAAATTTACTAGTTCTGGTTTGAACTGGTATACTAGGTTATTCAAAACACAAAACTTAAGCTTAATTTTAAAATTTAGCATTTGGTTCGGTTCAAGGGTGAACTAATAAATCTTGTCTCTTTGGGTTTGGGTTAAAGGTTTGTTTCAAGATCCTGCCTATAACATCCTGTCAATGATCCAGACAGACCTGTGTTCAAGGACCTGACTCTGTATCAATAGTTTTGATGTCCTTTGGGGAAAATCACACCTGGGCTTCAGTTTTCTCATTTACAAAATAAAGACGATGCTTATCCCTAAATGACCTGCCTACCTCACAGGTTATAAGGATCAAATGAGATCCAATACACAAAAACACTGGAAACAACACAGCCCACCATCAATGAAGACACTGGTATTTACGACAGGAATGAGCGGCTGTGCCTGGGCACTCTGCCCCACAGTTTGAATGTCATGGGCCAAGCATGGTGCTGCATCCAGACAGTGGTGGGACTGAAGCGCTTGGGCTACTATCTTCCCCACATGCCTGCCAAGTAGCTCAATGCACTTTCTCCCCCTCAGTGGATCCAAATAGTCATTTCAGCATTTCTCTGGGTCTATATGGGTCATCTGGAAATAAGAGCCATGATGCAAGAGGCAAGTGCCACCCAAAAAAGATTTTTTTTTTCCCCAGAAGAGCAAACACATCATTAGCAACTTCCTCAGGGAGGAAATGACTGAAGTGATTTGCTCCCGGGAAGCACTGGGCAACTGAGCAGCGATGATGAATAGTCAACTGAAGTTCATTCTCAGCTGCCTCCCTGGAGCCTCCAGGCTCTCCTTGGTATCTCTGTCACTAGTCTTCAAATGCTCTTAAAGGCACCCACCCTTAGATAATTCCATCCCCTGGACATGCCTGGGTTTCATTGTTATCACATACTTACCTTCGTAACAGCAGTCTGCCAACCCTGAAGAAATTCAGGTCTATTTTTTTCTCTGGCTTCAGTCAGCAAATACTTTCTTATATTCTGGTTAAAAAGAAACCACAACACAGATGCTGTGTTCCATCAGTTGGTGAAAAATGGAACATGCCCATAGCAGACAGAAGGAAAGGAGGAGGCTGTGGCCCCATAACTGGGCAGAATATGCATTAAGAAGCTGGAACAATTTTTTTTTTTTTTTTTTTTAAAGAGAGGATCTTGCTCTGTCACCCAGGCTGGAGTACAATGGCGTGATCATAGCTCACTGCAGCCTTGAACTCCTAGGCTTCAGAGATCCTCCTACCTCAGCCTTCCAAGTAGCTGGGACTATAGGTGTACACCACCGCTCCCGGCTAAAGCCGGGACTTTATTTCAGACTCTTCATTTCATATTGTTAAGGGGGAGTCAGACCTTCTGTATTCAAGGTATGCATCAAGACTGTGGACGCTGGCATTTGTGTAATCAGAACGTTTTATGAGATGGTTAGCCAGCCCTTCCCAGCAGTAAGTCAGCTTGCTGCATTTGAAACTTACATACTGGCAAGTCAAAAAGAAAGTCTTCATCATTGCCCATGCTCAACAGAGGAAAGGAACCCATGGCAGACATCATTAATAACTAAAACTAAATGAAAAATATTCCAGCCTTAGATATTCTGATACACTCCTTATTTTTGAGGGCTGCAGAAAAGGTTAACATTCAGCTTCTGGAAAGTAATACTAAAATTCCTTCTGAATACTAAATATGCTCAAGTCCACTGTTGAACTATCTACCAAGATGAAGCCTGCTGGAGTTTCAAAATGTCCCCAGTGCTCTCAACCTCTGTGCGTCTCTCTCCACATCAAGAGTGAAGTCAGAGGTTATGTGAATAACCCACCCCACCCCCCAACAAAAGTGGACCAGGGCCAGACGCGGTGGCTCACACCTGTAATCCCAGCACTTTGGGTGGCTGAGGCAGGTGGATCACATGAGGTGAGGTCAGGAGTTCAAGATCAGCCTGACCAACATGGTGAAACCCCATTTCTACTAAAAATACAAAAATTAGCCAGGTGTGGTGGTGCACACCTGTAATCCCAGCTACTCCAGAGGCTGAGACATGAGAATCGCTTGAACCCAGGAGGCGGAGGTTGCCATGAGCCAAGACTGGGCCACTGCACTCCAACCCAGGGGACAGAGTGAGACTCTGACTCAAAAAAAAAAAAAAAAAGGTGGACTGGAAGCCACCTCTTCAGAAGAAAAAACATGATGAAAGCAAATACTTAATATCCAACAAAGTATGACAGCATGTTGCACTGCTCCCTCTAAAGAAGTAACTTCAAGTTCTCAGAATAAGCAGTATATATAAATTCTTTTTTTTTTTTTTTTGAGACGGAGTCTTGCTCTGTTACCCAGGCTAGAGTGTAGTGGTGCGATCTCGGCTCGCTGCAACCTCCACCTCCCAGGTTCAAGCGATTCTCCTGCCTCAGCCTCCCGAGTAGCTGGGACTACAGGCGTGCACCACCATGCCCAGCTAATTTTTGTATTTTTAATAGAGACGGGGTTTCACCATGTTGGCCAGGCTGGTCTCTATCTCTTGACCTTCTGATCCGCCCGCCTCAGCCTCCCAAAGTGCTGGGATCACAGGCGTGAGCCACCCTGCCCGGCCAGTATATGTACATTCTTAAGTAAAATACAGGCAAAAAGGATTTGTCCTTAAAAATGGTCACCGGCACTCAAAATGTACTGAGCATCTCTAAGGGTTCAAGTGCTGGGGACACTAGTGAATAAAGCTCTTGTAGTCTCTGCTGTCATGGAATCTACACATTTATGTGGTGACTGTTTAAAACACTTTTTGTCAATTCTTTGGAAATACAGGCCCCTTAGTTAAGAGCCACTTCTACAACCCCTACATCCTCTTAAAACTAAAAACAGCTTGACCCCACCTGGCCAGATGACTGAACTGTATTTGGCTCTAAATGACTTCTAGCTATCACCTAAAAGGAGTCTGTTCTTAGGGTCTTTTTGCAAATGTGCAAAATTATTAGGCCAATTGTAATTTTGCTGAAAAGGTAAGAACTCTGCAGGAGGGCTTGGGCAAAAATTCAGAAGATGAATTTTTATTACTGTGCAGAACCAGGCCCTAATGATTCAAAATCGACTTAAACCCAACTGCATGTTTTACAAACAAAATCCTGTTTAACCATCATTCACTCCATGAAGGCGAATGTTTCTCTGGCCCCTACCTGACTCCCTAGCATCAGTGCCTGGCACAAAGCAAGAGGCACAGTAAATAGTTCCTACTTGAAACAGTTTTCCCAACACCTCTGCTCTCCTCTGCCTGTCAGAATCTGAGTCTTAAAGGCACTGATATGGCTGCACTTTTGGTTATACCTTTGCAGGTCTGTCTAGGAAAGAGACAATATAGACAGGCTCTGGCAGGTATGGGAATATGTTGGTTGAGAGAAAGGCAAGGAATTAGGGGAAGGGAACTGGAAAAGACGCTCACATCTGGTATTGTGAGAACTCTGGGCCCACGAGGCTTCTTGTTTTTGGGGTATTTTTTTTCCTGGATTTCTTGGAAATGAAAATGTGGATTTCGAAAACTTGATTTTCCTCATAGTTTGCATTATACTTAATTTTTAAATTAAATGTTAATTAAACAAATAATACAAGAAAATATTCTCCTTGTAAAAAAAAAAACGCAAAATGAGGCCAAATCCTCTTTAACTATTAGTCCTGCTTTTCTACACTTACCCAAAGGTAATAATCATTGATATAAAAAATGGTAAGGTCCCACCTTTTTACTTACAAATATGTATGTATATATGTGTCTACACATACACCTGCATGTATTTGTGTACTATACCGTATCATTCCACAATTGGCTTTTTAAAGCTCTATGCCTTGGACATCTTTCCATTTGAGGACTTGAAGGTCTACTATATTCAATTTAACTACTATGGTCAGTTTAATAGTATGGGTATACCGTACCATAGTGTATTTAGCTATTCTCTTGCTAGAGCTAAATTTGGGTTGTTTTATTTTGCACTATTATAAATAATGCTGCCATGAACATCCTCGCACATGCCTCATTCTTGTGTGCATATACAAGCATTTTTATGCAGTAGATAACAAGAAATGGAACTGATATGCAACAGAATTTGTATCTTTTTAATTTACAAAGCACTTAGAACTGATGAGAACTGCAACTATCCCCAAGCGGCTGTATCAATTTATACACTCTAACCAGAAAATATGAGAATGCCTATTTCCTTACACTTACATAGACACTTGAATAGCATCACTTTTTCTAACATAATGGGCAAAAAATTTAACTGATGTAGTTTTCATTTGCATTTCTATAATTTCTGGTAAGGCTGAACACCTCTCTGTGTTTTTAAATGGTCATTTGCATTTTTCCTAAAATTTACTAAATTAGCCTTTGTCCATTTCTATTATGTCCTTTTATCCTCCCCTTATTCATTTGTAGGAGTTTTCCATGTATTCTGGATAGTTATTGTCTGTTATTTGCATCATACATATTTTCTCCAAGTCTGTTGCTTGTCCTTTAACTTTATGATATACAGAAGTTTTAAATTATTAGGTGGTTAAATTTATCCAATTGTTCCTTATGTCTTTTCTTTGGTTCCATGTTAAGAAGTCCTTCCCCACTCTGTGAACATAACATTTTCCATATTTCATTCAAATACTTTTACAGTTTTGTACAGATTTCTTTTAAGTACTTAAAGCTTTAGGAGTTTTCATAATAAAGAATTTCCACATTTCTTCCTAGGGCATATTCCTGGGTTATTTATGTTTTGTTTCTTTTATAAATGGAATCTTATTCCCAGTTACATTTTCTTACTGGTTCTTGGTAGTGCAGGAAAATCCGGAAACCTACTCATTTTTCTTGATTTTGTATCCCACCATCTGTTTATTAGCTGAACACTAATATTTTGTCAATTGATTCCATTAGGTTATAGTTTATTCTACAGGAGTTATTTTGCAGATACAGGCCAATTTTAGCTCTAAGATGATCAAAGAAAAACAATTTCTAACCACATTCAAGATGTAGTTTTAAGGGAAAAGCAGAGAAAATCCAAGTGGAGTATCTCAGAGGGGGATCTGGATCCTAGACAGATCCTCTCCTCAGCCAGAGATTCCTCTTCTAGTCCTTTTCTCAGCTAACACTTTGGAGGATTTTCATGACATAAACTGTTCCTATATGGTTTTGACTGCTGCTGTTCTATCTAGAGCTAAGATGCTATTTGGCCAATTACAAAATAAATGAAAAAATAGGCAGTATATTAACTTACCTCTACACAAAACTTAAAATGAATGCCTTGGGAATCATAAAATGAAATAATTCGATTAGAGAGTGTCACAGTAATGAGAGACCAGTGGACTTCCAGGTGAATAGGAATCAACAGAAGACTCTTTTTAAACAAATCCACCTGATCAAGAAAAGAGAAAGAAATGCAGCCATCACCACAGGCTATCCAAACCACCAAAAACCAGCAGCTTCCATTTGCTGACCTTTGACCTGCACAAGGGCAAAAAAGTAGGAAGCAATGAACCAGAATTTGAACCCAGGTCTTACTCTAAGCCCATGCTTGTAACTATTAAGCTATAATACACAACAATAATACAAAAATAAAGATATACAAAGTACAGTTTTCCAGTTAATCTACTAAACCTGTGTGTCAAGTGCCTGAAGACTTGGCTCCTTGTTTACCTCATTTTCTCATATACATATTTAACCTGGATTCAACTCTTGTTTAGAAAGGAATCATAGTATTAGAAAATGGTATAAGGGGCCAGGCACGGTGGCTCACACCTGTAATCCCAGTACATTGGGAGGCTGAGGCGGAAAAACTGCTTGAGCCCAGGAGTTTGAGACCAGCCTGGGCAACATAATGAGACTCTGTCTCTACAAAAAAATAAAAAATCAGGCCGGGCTCAGTGGCTCACGCCTGTAATCCCAGCACTTTGAGAGGCCAACAGATGGTTTGAGCTCAAGAGTTCAGGACCAGCCTGGGTGACATGGCGAAACACTGTATCTACAAAAAAATACAAAAACTAACCGGGCGTGGTGGTGTGCACTGGTAGTCGCAGTTACTTGGTAGGCTGAGGTTCAAAGGATGGCTTGAGCCTGGGAGGCGGAGGTTGCACTGAGCAGAGATTGCACCACTGCACTCCAGCCTGGGTGACAGAGCCAGACCTTGTCTCAAGAAAAATAAATAAATAAAAAATCAGCCAGGTGTGGTGGTGCATGCCTGCAGTCCCAGCTACTTGGGAGGCTGAAGCAGCAGGATCACTGAGCCCAGGAGGTCGAGGCTGCAGTGAGCCATGATCACACCTCTGCATTCCAGCCTGGGCGACGGAGTGAGACCCTGAAACTGCATCTACAGACATGGTGTAAGCAGCAGTTAAGATCATGGGCTCCGAAGCAAGTCTGCTCAAGTTAGACTCGTTCAACAGACATGATATAAGCAGCAGTTAAGATCATGGGCTCTGAAGCAAGTCTGCTCAAGTTCAAATTGTGGCTCTTCCACGTATTAGTCACATGACTGGTAATTTCCTTAGCTTCTTTGCACCTTGATTTCCGCAACTAATAAAATGGATAGAAAATAGTACCTACCTTATGAAGTTTTTAAGAGTAATAAAAGAATATGTGTAAAATGCATACAACTCTGTTTAGCACATTATAAGTAGCCAAATACCTTAGTTATTATTATGATTACTTGCTTGGGTCTCTCAAATGTCAAAATTGAGAAAAACATCTTTGATAATACCTTATGCATCCTTTACAATCCTAACACATATTTTATATCATAATATATATCCCTTTACAATCTAGAAATGCTTGCTATTCCACTCAAAATTCCAGTTGTAGAGTGGGTGATAAAGTAGTAAGTGCTCCACATACATTTGTAAAAGAGTGAATCAATTTCCCTTCTCAGGTATTTTTTAGCATAATTTGGTGATTACTTGGGTTAAAACATTTTAAACTACCTTATATTCTCTGAAACTAATTTCCCAAGATTTCCTTCTCGCTTTCTGATACTCAAATAGTGTCCTGCTCTAAATGAATCTTCTGTTAAGTCTTCATGACCTTGGAGCAAAATCACTTAAGCTTTTCAGTTTCTGCATCCATAAACCTGGGGGAGTGAGGTGGGTAGAAGGAAATAGTGAAAATAATAAACAATGTTCCTTTCCAGATTAAAAATTCTGAGTATCCTTTTTTTTTTAATTCCGAGTATCTAAAACAAGGAATCATATTTAGAATACAGTAGTAAATAAAACCAGATGTATATTCTTCTCAAAAAGTAATGTTTTCTACATTGTAAAACAGATTTTTGTATAAAAATTAGAAAATACAGAAAAAGATACACTTCACCTATCTTTCCAAATCATTTTCTTCTTCTAACACACTAACATAGACATACATAGAGCTTTATACAGGCTGAGTAACTCTAACCCAAAAACCTGAAATCCTCCAAAATCTGGAACTTTTTGAGTGCTGACATGATGCCACAGACTGTCCACAGGGGTGGCTGAGGTAGTGACATTTTTACTTTCTGATGGGTCAATGTACATAAACTGTTGCATATACAAAATTACTAAGAATATTGTAAATTACCTTTAGGGCATGCATCTAAGGTGAATATGAAACATAAGTGAATTCTGTGTTTAGACTTTGGTTCTACCCCCAAAATATCTCATTATATATATGCAAATATTACAAAATCTGAAAGAGTCCAAAGTTCAAAACACTTCTAGTCCCAAGCATTTTGAATAAGGGATATTTAACCTGTACACATAATTAAGAACAATGTGCATGACAGATTGTATCACTGACCCCAATTATTTGTTGCCCTCCCTGTGAGAAGATTATACAGACTTGCCCATTGCCATGTGACTTCTCTGCCCTCCCAAAGAGAGAAGTGTAGTCCTGTCATGTGATTTGCTTTAATCAAAAGGATGTAATAAGCAGAAGTGAAGTTATGTCACGATCAGATTGAAACTTTCAGAGCTACCATGTGAGACTGCCATGTCTCAGGAAAGGTGCTGCTCCTTCAGTTTGGGTCCCATTCGCAGAATAAAGAAGAAAAACCATAGGTTCATCTGCTTAGATGCAGGAAAAGCATTTGATGAAATTCAGTATTTACTTATGATTAAAAACTCTCAGGAAAATAGGAATAATAGGAAAGCCTACAGCTGACACCATA
Source organism: Homo sapiens (assembly GCF_000001405.40). Lineage (NCBI taxonomy): Eukaryota > Metazoa > Chordata > Mammalia > Primates > Hominidae > Homo > Homo sapiens. The sequence goes on along the minus strand of NC_000003.12, from coordinate 196,920,635 downwards.
CACAGTAGTGAAAAACTGAATGCTTTCCAAGACTGAGAACTAGGGAAAGATGTCCTCTCTCATTACTTCTATTCAACACTGCAGCCAGTCTTAGCCAGTGCAGTAAGGCAAGGAAAAAATGGCATACAGATTGCAAAGAATGAAATAAAACTGTCACTACTTATAAGTGTCTATGAAAATTTCACAGAATATACAAAAAAGCTCCTAGAAGTAATAAATGACTTTGGTAAGGTCAGAGGATACAAAGTCAAAATACAGAAATCAACTGTATTTCTATATACAAACAACTAGAAGATAATATTTTTTAAAATTCTGTTCATAGCCAATTCAGAAACATGAAATACTTAAGGATACATTTAACAAGAATGTATATGTAAGATGTATACACTAAAAATTACAGATAATACTGAGAAAAAATAAATGCAAAGATATATACCATGTTCATACACTGAAAGGCTTACTATTATTAGATGTCCATTCTCCCCAAACTAATGTATAAACACAATCCCAATCATTCCAGCATGCTTACTAAACAACAGAGTTTGACAAACTAATTTTAAAGTTTATATGAAAATGCAAAGGACTCAGAATTGCCAAAACAATCTGGAAAAAGGATAAAGCTGCCAGACTCACAGTGATTTTGAGACACACTATGAAGACACAGTAATACTGTGTAGTGTTAACATAAAAAATAGGCATCATTGTAAGAGAACAGAAAATCCAGAAGTAGACCTACACATATATGATCAGTTGACTTTCTATAATGGTGCCAAAGCAATGAAATTGGAAAAGAAAAGTATACTAAGAAAAAAAAAATCTTGATCCCTCCCTTTTTTTTTTTTGAGATGAAGTTTTGCTCTTGTTGCCCAGGCTGCAGTGGAATGGCACAATCTCGGCTCACTGCAACCTCCGCCTCCTGGGTTCAAGTGATTTTCCTGCCTCAGCCTCCCAAGTAGCTGGTATTGCAGGCATGCTCCACCACACCCAGCTAATTTTGTATTTTTAGTAGACACGGGGTTTCTCCATGTTGGTCAGGCTGGTCTTGAACACCTGACCTCATGTGATCAGCCCACCTCAGCCTCCCAAAATGCTGGGATTACAGGCGTGAGCCACCGCCCCTGGTTGGTCACGTTTCTTTGTTCATTTGTTTGTTTTGAGATGGAGTCTCACTCTGTAGCCCAGGCTGGAGTGCAGTGGTGCAATCTTGGCTCAACAAAACCTCCGCTGCTAGGGTTCAAGCGATTCTTCTGCCTGAGCCTCCCGAATAGCTAGGACTACAGGTGCCTGCCACCACCCCTGGCTAATTTTTGTATTTTTAGTGGAGACAGGGCTTCACCAAGTTGGCCAGGCCAGTCTTGAACTCCTGACCTCAAGTAATCCACCCACTTCAGTCTCCCAAACTAATAGGATTACAGGCGTAAGCCACTGCACCTGGCCCTTTGTTGATTTTGAGTCCAATGATGAAAGTGGGGTGTTGAGGTCTCTAGCTATTATTGCATTGTTGAGTCTCTCTCTCTCTCTGGCTCTTTTCCGTTTTTGTTTGTTTTCTTGCCTTCTTTGTGATGGTATCTCTCTTTAGCTCAGATAATATTTGCTTTATATATCTGGGTGCTCCAGTGTTAGGTATGTGTGGAGACAGATAGATAGATAGATAGATACACACATACATAATTTTTATATTGTCTGACCTTTTTATCATTATATAATGACCTTGTCTCTTTTTAATAATTTTTATCTTAATACCTATTTTACCTGACATTAAGTATAGCTACTCTGCTCTCTTTTTTTGGCTTCTGTTTGTATGGAAAAAGAGGAGTTCTGGTTTTTCCAGCCCTTTCAGTCTGTGTATATCTTTATAGGTGAAGTGAGTTTCTTGTAGGCAGCATATGGTTGGGTCTTATTTTTCTTTCCATTCAGCCAATCTGTGTCTTTTGATTAGAGACTTTAGTCCATTTACATTCAATGTTATTATTGATACGTAAGGACTTCCTACTGCCATTTTGTTATCTGCTTTCTACTTGTTTTATGGTCTTCCCTTCCTCCCTTCCTTCTTTGCGTTGAAATGATTTTCTCTGGTAGTATAGTTTTATTTCTTGCTTTTCATTTTTTGTATACCTGTTGTAGATTTTTTGTTTTGAGGTTACATGGTTACCTCAAAATAAAAGCCTCATGAGGCTTGCAAACAACATCTTATAAACAACTATTTCAAACTGATAACTCGTTACCAAAAAAAAAAAAAGTCAAGAGAAAACGAAAACAGAACTCTACAGTTTAACTCCAAACTCCATCCCCCTCTTTGACTTTTTGTTGTTTCTACTTTTTTTTTTTTTTGACAGAGTCTCGTTCTGTCGCCCAGCTTGGAGTGCAGTGGCACAATCAGGGCTCACTGCAAGCTCCGCCTCCCAGGTTCACGCCATTCTCCTGCCTCAGCCTCCCGAGTAGCTGGGACTACAGGCGCCCGCCACCGCGCCCGGCTAATTTTTTTGTATTTTTAGTAGAGACAGAGTTTCACCGTGTTAGCCAGGATGGTCTCGATCTGACCTCGTGATCCACCTGCCTCAGCCTCCCAAAGTGCTGGGATTACAGGTGTGAGCCACCGTGCCCGGCCATTGTTTCTATTTATCTTTTTATATTATCGCTTAAAAAATTGTAATTATAATTTTTGATAGGCTTTGTAGTCTTCCTACTCAAAATATGGCTTACACACGGCAATTAGTGTGTCAAGCCATTCTGTTCTTGTGTACTTACTGATACCAGTGAGTTTTGTACCTTTGGATGATTTCTTATTGCTCACTCATGTCCTTTCCTTTCAGATTAAAGAGCTCCCCTTAGCATCTCTTATAGGTCAGGTCTGATATTGACAAAATCCCTCACAGCTTTTGTTTGTCTGGGAAAGTATTTCTCCTTCATGTTTGAAGTATATTTTCGCTGGGTATGATATTCTAGGATAAACGTTTTTTTCCTTCAGCACTTGACATGCCACTCCCTCCTGGCCTGTAAAGTTTCCACTGAGATGTCTGCTGCCAGATGTATTGGAGCTCCTTCATATGTTATTTGTTCCTTTTCTCTTGCTGCTTTTAGGATTCTTTCTTTATCCTCAACCTTTGGGAGTTTGACTATTAAATGCCTTGAGGTAATCTTATTTGTGTTAAATCTTCTTGGTGTTCTAGGACCTTCTTGTACCTGAATATTGATACCTTTCTCTGGGTTTGGAAAGTTCTGTTACTATCTGAGTGAAGTTTCTACCCTCTCTCTCTCTCTCTACCTCCTCTTTAAGACCAATAACTCTCAGATTTGCCCTGTGACTTCTAGATCTTGTAGGTTTGCTTCATTCTTTTTTCTCCTCTGTGTATTTACATACAGTCTGTCCTTAAGCTTACTAATTCTTTCTTCTGCTTGATCAATTTTGCTGTTGAGAGATTCTGATGTATTTTCTAGTTTGTCAACTGAATTTTTCAGCTCCAGAATTTGTTTTTTGTGTTTTGTTGGGGTTTGTTTGTTTTGAGACAGAGTTCGCTCTGTTGCCCAGGCTGGAGTGCAATGGCATGATCTTGGCTCACTGCAATTTCTGTCTCCCAGGTTCAAGCGATTCTTGTGCTTCAGCGTTCTGCATACCTGGGATTACAGACCTGTGTCACCACGCCCGGCTAATTTTTGTATTTTTAGTAGAGATGGGGGTTTGCCATGTTGGCCAGGTTTGTCTCAAACTCCTTGCCTCAAGTGATCTACCCACCTAGGCCTCCCAAAATGCTGGGATTACAGGTGTGAGTCGCTGTGCCCAGCCTCTGCTTATTTTTTTAAAAAAATATGTCAATCTCAGCTGGGTGTGGTCACTCAAATCCCAGCACTTTGGGAGGCTGAGGCAGGCAGATCACAAGGTCAGGAGTTTGAGACCAGTCCGACCATCATGGTGAAACCCTGTCTCTACTAAAAATACAAAATTAGCCAGGCATAGTGGCACATGCCTGTAATCCCAGTTACTCAGGAGGCTGAGGCAGGAGAATTGCCTGAACCTGGGAGATGGAGGTTGCAGTGAGCTGAGATCACACCATTGCACTCCAGCCTGGGCAACAAGAGGGAAACTCTGTCTTTAAAAAAAAAAAAAAAAGTCAATCTCTTTCTTAAATTTCTCTGACAGGATTCTAAATTCCTTCTCTGTGTTATTTTGAAATTCTCTGGGCTTCCTCAAAACAGCTATTTTCAATTGTCTGAGAGGTTGCATATCTCTGTCACTATGAGATTGGTCATTGGTGCCTTTAGTTTGGTGAAGTCATGTTTTCCTGCATGTTTTTTTTGTTTGTTTGTTTTTTGAGACAGTTTCATTCTTGTCACCCAGGCTTGAGTGCAATGGCATGATCTCGGCTCACTGCAACCTCCACCTCTCAAGTTTAAGCAATTCTCCTGCCTCAGCCTCCTGAATAGCTGGGATTACAGGTGCCCGCCACCACGCCCAGCTAATTTTTTTGTATTTTTAGTAGAGAAAGGGTTTTACCATGTTGGCCAGGCTGGTCTGGAACTCCTGACCTCAGGTGATCTGCCTGCCTCAGCCTCCCAAAGTGCTGAGATTATAGGCGTGACCCAAGGTGCCCAGCCTTCCTGGATGTTCTTGATGCCTGCAGGTGTTCATCGACGTCTGGGCAATCAAGAGTTAGGTATTTATTCTATCTTCACAGTTTGGACTTGTTTTTATCTGTCCTTCTTGAGAAGGCTTTCCAGGTATTCAAAGGAAATTGAGTGTTGTAATCTAAGTCTTTGGTCACTGCAGCCGTATCTGCACTACAGGGAGCCCCAAGCCCAGTAAGACTGTGACCCTTGCAGGCTCCTGGAGGTCTCACCTTGGTGTGCTTGGGTAAGATGGAGAGGAATTTCCTAGATTATTAGGCGATCTCTCATTCTCTTCCTTCACTTTCCCCCAAATAGTCTCTCTCTCCATGATGGGCTGCCTGGAGTTGAGGGAGGGGTGGTGCAAGCACTCCCATGGCTACCACAGCTGGCACTGGACTGGGTCACAACTGAACACAGCATAGTACTGGGTCTTGCCCAAGGCATGTGGCAACTCCTGCCTGGCGACCGCTGATATTTATTCAAGGTCCAAGGGCTCTTTACTCAGTAGGTGGTAAATTCTTCCAAGACTGGGCCCTTCCCTTCAGGGCCAGTAGGTTCCCTTCTGGCCCAGGGTGGGGCTATAAATACCATCCAGGGTCTAGGGCCTAGAATTGGAGGCTTCAGGAATGACTGGTGCTTTATTTTACTGTGGCTCAGCTAGTGCTCAAGTTGCAAGACACAATATTCTGTACTCTTTCCTCTCCGTTCCCCAAATGGAAAGAGCACCTCCCCAAGCTCCACTGCTTCAAGTTGTGGGAGTGGCAATCCCTTCACTACCAGAGCTGGTGTCTGAGTTGTGTGCACCCCAAATCCACAGGCTCTGACCCCAGCACAGTGCCAGGACGTGCCAAAAGAATGCAGTCCTGTGGCCTGACTGCCTTTCAAATTTATTCAGGACCCAAGTCCACTTTACTCAACTGGTGGTGGAACTAGCTGCAACTCAGGTTCCTACCGCTGGGGCGGAAGATTCTCCTCTGGCTGGGGCTAGTCTGAATGCTCCCTCCATGGGTGCTGGCAGAATTCTGCCCTGTGTTGTATTCCATTGTGATATGACAGCACTGGAGTTTCAATGCAAAGTCCCACAATCATTTTGCTCTTCCTCCTGCAAGCACACAGATTCTATCTCCGCACACTGCCAGGGGATAGGGAAGGGGTGGTGTAGGCAATGCAAGAGTGTCTTTCCTACCCTCTTCGATGCCTCTTTCCTTGAGATGCTGTTAAAACCAGGTACTAGGATCACTCACCTGATTTCTGGTTCTTATGAAGGTATTTTGTTGCATGGATAGTTGTTCAATTTGGTGTTCCTGCAGGAGGACGATGGTTGAAGGGTACTATTCTGCCATCTTGCTCCTCCTCCTCTCAGCTTAACCAATTCTTATAAAACCCCTCCCCACACACATATGTATGTGTGTGTAGACATATATATATATATATATATATATATTTTTTTTTTTTTTTTTTTTTTTAAAGCAAACCTCTGGGCTCAAGTAATGCTCCTGCCTCAGCCTCCGGAGTAGCTGGAACTATAAGCACCTACCACTTTGCCTGGCTTTTTATTTTTTTGCATATACTTGTACAATTTTTTTGGAGGGAGACATCAATCACAATATTTTACCCCTACCTACTTTAGATGTTTTCTCCTATATAACCACAATCTCACTATCTCTGAACACACAAGATATTTAACATCAGTTTACTAATATCATCTAATGCATGAATGACCAAGTATGGCCCACTGCCAGTTTTTATTAAGTTTAATTGAAACACAGCCACACTCATTACTTGGGTATTATCTACATCTGCTTCTGTGCTGTAACAGGTCAGTAGATAAATCAAAGACCATAAGGTCTGCAAAATCCAAAGTATTTATTATCTGGCTCTTTCAGAAAAAGATCACTGACCCCTGAATATATTAGTCTATACTAAAATTTCCCCTAATTTACCCAAAATATTGCATCTCTTCCAGTCCAGGATCCAATCAAGATTAACTTACTGCATTTATCTGTCACTCAGTGTGGTTTTCATTTGCTTTTCTTTTACTGTGAAGTTATGCAACTTTTTATATGTTTAAGAGCCTTTCTTGGCCAGGCACAGTGGCTCATGCCTGTAATCCCAGCACTTTGGGAGGCTGAGGCAGGCAGATCACTTGAGGCCAGGAGTTCGAGACCAGCCTAGCCAATGTGGCAAAACCTGTCTCTACTAAAAATACAAAAATTAGCCAGGTGTGGTGGTGTGTACCTGTAATCCCAGCTACTTGGGAGGCTGAGGCAGGAGAATCGCTTGAACCCAGGAGGCAGAGGTTGCAGCAAGCCAAGATTGTGCCACTGCACTCCAGCCTGGGCAAAAGAGCAACACTCCATCAAAAAAAAAAAAAAAAAAAAAAGCCTTTCTTATAAACCTTTTCATCACTGAGTCTTCTACTGAGTTCAGGGTCTTACTAGTTTTTTTTGTTTTTTTTTTTTGAGATGGAGTCTCACTCTGTCACCCAGGCTGGAGTGCAGTGGCATGATCTCAGCTCACTGCAACCTCCGCCTCCTGGGTTTAAGAAATTCTCTGCCTCAGCCTCCCGAATAGCTGGGATTACAGGCGCACACCACCACACCCAGCTAATTTTCTTGGATTTTTAGTAGAAAAGAGGTTTCACTATCTTGGCCAGGCTGGTCTTGAACTCCTGACCCCATGATTCACCTGCCTCGGGCTCCCAAATGCCACCTTGCCCGGCTAATAAAAAATAATTTTCTTTGTGGCTAAGTACATGTTCAATTTTTACAAATATTCCTGAACCATAGCAATAAATGTATATTCTCTTAAGGAGCATAAACATCTATTAAATCAATTATATTGACTGTAATTTTTGTATATGTCTTTATTGTCTACTAGATTTATCCACTTATGAGAAAAGTCTGCCACTATCACTATTTTACCAAGGTCCTCTTGTTTCTGTTTTAATTGTATTACACATATTTAGCAACTGTGTGCTTTGGTGCATAAAGATTGGTCATTATATCTCCTTTATATTGAAATCTGATAATTACACAATTTGCTTCTCACCTTAAATTCTATTTCAACTGCTATTAATATGATTAATATTCCTTTCTGTTTTTGTTTCAATTTGTCTAGTACCTTTAAATTTCTACAATTTTCAAACAAATTATTATTTTTAGAGGCAAGGTCTGTCACCCAGGCTGGGGTACAGTGGTGTGACCACTGCTCACCGCAGTCTCAAACTCCTGGGCTCAAGCAATCCTCCCACCTCAGCCTCCGGAGTAGCAGAGACTACAGGCACACACCACCACGCCCAGCTGCCTAGTACCTTTTATTTTTTCTTTTAATGAAAACTTGAATTTTCAAAAAATTTTAAAGTTCCGGGATACATGTGCAGAACAGGCAGGTTTGTTACATAGGTATACATGTGCCGTGGTGGTTTGCTGCACTTATCAATCCGTCATCTAGTTTTGTTTTTTTCTTTTTAATTGAGACAGAGTCTTGCTCTGTCACCCAGGCTGGATTACAGGCATGAACCACCGCACCCCGCTGTCATCTAGGTCTTAAGCCCTGCATGCATTAGGTATTTGTCCTAATGCTCTCCCTCTCTTTGCCCCCAACCCCCTGACAGGCCCCGGTGTATGTTGTTCCCCTCCCTATGTCCATGTGTTCTTATTGTACAACTCCCACTTATGAGTGAGAACATGCAGTGTTTGGTTTTCTGTTCCTCTGTTAGTTTGCTGAGGATGATGGCTTCCAGCTTCATCCTTGTCCCTTCAAAGGACATGATCTCATTCTTTAAATGGCTGCATAGTATTCCATGGTGCGTATGTACCACATTCTCTTTATGTAGTCTATCACTGATAGGCATTTGGGTTGGTTCCATGTCTTTGCTATGAGTACTGCAATAAATATACACACGCATATGTCTCTATAGAGAATGATTTATATTCCTTTGGGTATATACCCAGTAATAGGACTGCTGGGTCAAATGATATTTCTGGTTCTAGATCCTTGAGGAATTGCCACTCTGTCTTCCACAATGGTTGAACTAACTTACGTTCCCACCAACAGTGTAAAAGCATTCCTATGTCTCCACAGCCTTGCCAGCTTCTATTGTTTCTTGACTTTTTAATAATTGTCATTTCTGACTCGCATGAGATGGTATCTCATTGTGGTTTTGATTTGCATTTCTCTAATGATCAGTGATTAGCTGTTTTTGTTTTGTTTTTTTTTGAGACGGAGTCTTGCTCTTGTTGCTAAGGCTGGAGTGCAATGGCACAATCTCAGCTCACGCAACCTCTGCCTCTCAGGTTCAAGCGATTCTCCTGCCTCAGCCTCCCGAGTAGCTGGGATTACAGGCCCCCACCACCACAACTGCCTCAGCTTCCCAAAGTGCTGGGATTACAGGCGTGAGCCACCGCGCCCAACTGATGAGGTTTTTTCATATGTTTTTTGGCTACATAAATGTCCTTTTTTTTTTTTTTTTGAGACAAAGTCTCACTCTGTCGCCCAGGCTGGAGTGCAGTGGCGCAATCTTGGCTCACTGCAACTTCCACTTCCCAGGTCAAGCAATTCTCCTGTCTCAGCCTCTCGAGTAGCTGAGACTACAGACATAAATGTCTTCTTTTGCGAAGTGTCTGTTCATATCCTTTGCCCACTTTCTGATGGTTTATTTTTCTTGTAAATCTGCTTAAGTTCCTTGTAGATTCTGGATATTAGATCTTTGTCAGGTGGGTAGACTGCAAAAATTTTATCCAATTCTATAGGTTGCCTGTTCACTCTGATGATAGTTTCTTTTGCTGAGCAGAAACTCTTTAGTTTAATTAGAATCCATGTTGGCTTTTGCTGCAATTGCTTTTGGTGTTTTTGTCATGAAGTCTTTGCCCACGCCTATGTCCTGAATGGTACTGCCTAGGTTTTCTTCTAGGGTTTTTACGATTTTGTGTTTTACAATTAAGTCTTTAATTCATCTTGAGTTAATTTTTGTATAAGGTGTAAGGAAGGGGTCCAGTTTCAGTTTTCTGCATATGGCTAGCCAGTTTTCCCAGCATCATTTATTAAATAGGGAATCCTTTCCCCATTGCTTTTGTCGGGTTTGTCAATGATGAGATGGTTGTGTATGTGTGGTGTTATTTCTGAGGTCTCTGTTCTGTTCCATTGGTCTATATGCCTGTTTTGGTACCAATACCACGTTGTTTTGGCTACTGTAGCCTTGTAGTATAGTTTGAAGTTAGGTATGTGATGCCTACAGCTTTGTTCTTTTTGCTTAGGATTGTCTTGGCTATACAGGCTCTTTTTTGTTTCCATATGAATTTTAAAGTAGTTTTTTCTAATTCTGTGAAGAATGCCAATGGTAGTTTGATGGGAATAGCATTAAATCTATTAATTACTTTGGGCAGCCAGGAGTGGTGGCTCACATCTATAATCCCAGCACTCTGGAAGGCCGAGGCAGGCGGATCACGAGGTCAGGACATCGAGACCATCCTGGCTAACACGGCGAAACCCTGTGTCTACTAAAAATACAAAAAATTAGCTGGGCATGGTGGTGCATGCCTGTAGTCCCACCTACTCGGGAGGCTGAGGCAGGAGAATTGCTTGAACCCGGGAAGTGGAGGTTGCAGTGAGCCACGATCATGCCACTGCATTCCAGCCTGGGCAATGGAGCGAGACTCCATCTCAAAAAAAAAAAAAAAAAAAAAAAAAAAAAGATTACTTTGGGCAGTATGGCCATTTTCAAGATACTGGTTCTTCCTATCCACGAGGATGGAATATTTTTCCATTTGTTTGTGTCCTCTCTTACTTCCTTGAGCAGTGGTTTGTAGTTCTCCTTGAAGAGGTCCTTCACATCCCTTATAAACTGTATTCCTAGGTATTTTATTCTCTTTGTAGCAATTGTGAATGGGGGTTCATTCATGATTTGGCTCTCTGCTTGTCCATTGCTGGCGTATAGGAATGCTTGTGATTTCTGCACATTGATTTTGTATCCTGAGACTTTGCTAAAGTTTCTTATCAACGTAAGGGGTTTTGGGGCTGAGACGATGGCATTTTCTAAATATAGAATCATGCCATCTGCAAGAGACAATTTGACTTCCTCTCTTTCTATCTGAATACCCTGTATTTCTTTCTCTTGCCTGATTGCCCTGGCCAGAACTTCCAATATTATGTTGAATAGAAGTGATGGGAGAGGGCATCCTTGTCTTGTGCCAGTTTTCAAAGGGAATGTTTCCAGCTTTTGCCCACTGATATTGGCTATGGGTTTGTCATAAATAGCTCTTATTATTGAGATATGTTTGATGAATACCTAGTTTATTGAGAGTTTTTAAATGAAGGGATGCTGAATTTTATCGAAGGTCTTTTCTGCATCTACTGAAATAATCATGTGGTTTTCGTCACTGGTTCTGTTTATATGACGGATTATGTTTACTGATTTGCATATGTTGAATCAGCCTTGCATCCCAGGGATGAAGCCAACTTGATCATGGTGGATAAGCTTTTTGATGTGCTGCTGGATTTGGTTTGCCAGCATTTTATTGAGAATTTTTCGCACCGATGTTCATCAGGGATATTGGCCTGAAATTTTCTTTTTTTGTGTCTCTGCCAGGTTTTGGTATCAGGATGATGCCGGCCTCATAAAATGAGCTAGGGAGGAGTTCCTCCTTTTCAATTGTTATGAAATAGTTTCAGAAGGAATGGTATCAGCTCCTCTTTGTACCTCTGGTAGAATTTGGCTGTGAATCCATCTGGTCCTGGGCTTTTTGTGGTTGGTAGGCTATTAATTACTGCCTCAATTTCAGAATTTGTTATTGGTCTATTCAGACATTCCACTTCTTCCTGATTTAGTCTTGGGAAGGTGTATGTGTCCAGGAATTTATCCGTTTCTTCTAGATTTTCTAGTTTATTTGTGTAGAGGTCTTTATAGTATTCTCTGATAGTAATTTGTATATTTCTGTGGGGTCAATGGTGATATCCCCTTTATCATTTTTTATTGTGTCTATTTGATTCTTCTCTCTTTTCTTCTTTAGTTTAGCTAGAGGTATTTTTTGTTAATTTTTTCAAAAAATCCAGCTCCTGGATTCACTGATTTTTTGAAGGGTTTTTTTGTGTTTCTATCTCCTTCAGTTCTGCTCTGATCTTAGTTATTTCTTGTTTTCTGCTAGCTTTTGGATTTGTTTGCTCTTGCTTCTCTATTTCCTTGTTGTTGTTTTTGTTTGTTTGTTTTGAGACAGAGTTTCACTCTTCTTGCCCAGGCTGGAGTGCAATGGCGCAATCTCAGCTCACCACAACCTCCACCTCCCGGGTTCAAGTGATTCTCCTACCTCGGCCTCCCAAGTAGCTGGGATTACAGGCATGTGCCACCACACCCAGCCAATTTTGTATTTTTAGTAGAGATGGGGTTTCTCCATGTTGGTCAGGCTCATCTCAAACTCCTGACCTCAGGTGATCTACCCGCCTCAGCCTCCCAAAGTGCTGGGATTACAGGCATGAGTCACCACGCCCAGCCGCTTCTCTAGTTCTTTTAATTGTGATGTCAGGATGTTGATCTGAGATCTTTCCAGCTTTTCGATGTGGGCATTTAGTGCTATAAACTTCCCTCTTAACACTGCTTTAGCTGTGTCCCAGAGATTCTGGTACATTGTCTCTCTGTTCTCATTGGTTTCAAAGAACTTCTTGATTTCTGCCTTAATTTCTTTATTTACCCAGGAGTTATTCAGGAACAGGTTGTTTAACTTTCCTGTAGTTGCCTTTTTTATTTGTTTTAAATTGAGACAAGGTCTCAGTCTGTCACCCAGGCAGGAGTGCAGTGGCGTGATCAGGGTTCACTGCAGCCTCGACCTCCCAGGCTCAAGTGATCCTCCCACCGCAGCCTTCTGGATAACTGGGACCACAGGCTGCCACCATGGCCAGCTAAGTTTTTTAAATTTTTTATAGAAACGGGGTCTCGCTTGGTTGCCTAGGCTGATTTGAAACTCTTGGGCTCAAGCAATCCTCCCATCTACAGTAATTTTAGGCCTCCCAAAGTGTTCAGACTGCAGATGTGAGACACAGCGCCCAGCCTCTTTAAATGTCACTTCATTTTCAACCTTTCTTTTTCATATTATTTTATGTATACTTCTTATATTCAGCATAAACCTGGGTTTTTTTTTTTTTTACTTAACCCAATCTCAGAGGATCTACAGCAAGCTTGTCCAGTCCACAGCCCACGGGCAGCATGCAGCCCAGGACGGCTCTGAATGCAGCCGAACACAAATTTGTAGACTTTCTTTTATGAGATCTTTTTTGCAATTTTTTTTGTTTTAGCTCATCAGCTATTGTTAGTGTTGGTGTATTTTATGTGTGGCCCAAGACAACTCTTCTTCTTCCAGTGAGGCTCAGGGAAGCCAAAAGATTGGACACCCCTGATCTAGAGGAAGGAATAATTTAGTTTATTATTTAATGAAACAACTCACATATTTGACTTTATTCTTTCACTCTCATGTTTATCATTCAGATACTTTTCCATGAATGTATATTTTTTGCCCACACTGCTTGTAATTTTTCCCACCCCAAATGGAATATAAGCATCTTCCATTATCTTTTTTTTTTTTTTTTGAGACGGAGTCTCTCTGTCGCCCAGGCTGGAGTGCAGTGGTGCGATCTTGGCTCACTGCAAGCTCCGCCTCCTGGGTTCAGTCTCCTGAGTAAGTGGGACTACAGGCATCCGTCACCACGCCCGGCTAATTTTTTTGTATTTTTAATAGAGATGGGGTTTCACCGTGTTAGCCAGGATGGTCTCTATCTCCTGACCTCGTGATCCGCCTGCCTCGGCCCCTCAAAGTGCTGGGATTACTGATGTGAGCCACTGTGCCCGGCCCATCGTTCATTATCTACACAGCTTTTCCTGCTTAAGTAGCATCCAATTATATGACTGTACATTTTAAATTTGAACAATCCTCTACTAGTTGTCCTACATTTTTCTAATGTAAATACAACCATAGGCCGTCCAGTCATACAAGTCACATACTTGGAAGTCATCTTTCACACTTCCTTGTCCTTCATCTCCATAACCAACTTATCACCAAATCCTGTTAATTTTACTTCCTACATCACACTCATCTTCCATCTCTCCTGCTATCATTCTACTTCAAAGTACCATGAATCTGAAATGGTCTCCTGTTCTGCCCACATCAACTTTGCTCCCATACCCATCCATCTTCTTCAGTACTGTTAGAACAAAGACTACAAAGTGGATAATGTCACTAAAAACCATTCAATGGTTTCCTATTACATTTAGGATAAAATCCAAAATACAAACCTCAAGGCCCTGATCTGTGGATCAGGTACACTTCATGCCACTGTCTTCTTAACTCTCTGCATTTCAGCTACACTAGCCTTTTCCCATTCTTCTACCAGATACTTATTCCTTCTGCCTATGTTTCACATACCCCTATTCTCCATTTACCTAGTTAACTTGTATTCATCTTTGATATTTCTGCTTAAATATTACTTCCTATGAGAAACATTCCCTTACCCTCAGGCTAGGTTAACCAAACCTGCATTCCAATACACTCCTGTAGTACTTTTCTTTTGTACCCACTAAACAAATAATTACACCACCAAAAATATAAATACAAACTGTGGTAGGTGCTGTCTCCACCACTAGACTGCAGACTTTGTGAAAGCAAAAACTGTCTCTAATATTGTTTTACTTACCTCTTTATTTCTTGATTTACTATAATGTCTGGCACTATGATACTGTAAAATAATAAATTTGGTCTTTGACCTCATTTCCTGGCATACAACTCCCTAAAGTCCTTGGAATTTCTGATGTCTTTTTTTCTTTTTTTTTAGAAAGTCTTGCTCTGTCACCCAGGCTGGAGTGCAGTGGTGCAATCTCGGCTCACAGCAACCTCCACCTCCTGGGTTCAAACGATTCTCCTGTCTCAGCCTCCCAAGTAGCTGGGACTACAGGCACATGCCACCATACCCAGCTAATTTTTGTATTTTCAGTAGAGACAGGGTTCCACCATGTTGGCCAGGCTGATCTTGAACTCCTGACCTCAAGTGATCTGCCTGCCTCAGACTTCCAAAGTGCTGGGATTACGGGGACATGACCCAGGCCCAAAGTGATGTCTTTTTGTATGTTGATGATTAACTGATGGCTGGCAGCTGCTAGGTGGCTTTAGGATAAGAGCAAGGCAGAATTAGAGGATTGTGACTTTCAGCCCCACCCAACCCCCCAACCACCAGGGAGAGAAGAGAAGCTAAAGGTTAACCAATGGTCACTGGTTTAGTCAATCGCCTATGTAATGAAGCCTCCATAAAAACTGACTGCACTGGGAGAGCTTCTGGATACTAAATATGTGGAGGTTCCTGGAGGGTGATGTGCCTGTGGAGGTCCTAGAGAATCCCTGTGCCCACTCCCCTACATCTCTTCCCATGCATCTCTTCATCTGAATCCTTTGTAATATCCTATATAATAAACTGCTAAATGTAGGTAAGAACTTCCCAGAATTCTGTGAACCGCTCCGGCAAATTAATCAAATTCAAGGAGGGCGGCATGGGAACCCTCACTTGAAGTCTGTTGGTCAGAAGTTTCAGAAGCCTGGACTTGCAACTGGTGTCTGAAGTGGGTGGGGGGCACTCTTGAGGCATGAGCCCTCAAACTATGGGACGTGGCACTGTCTCCAGGTAGACAGGTCGGAATTGAATTAGAGGGCATCCAGCCAGTGGTCGCTGCAGAACTGCTTGCTTGCTTGCTTTGGTCACAGAAGTCTTCTGTGCTGACTACTGTTGTGGTGTGACAGCAAAGGAAAAAAGTTTTTCCATATAGGCACATAACAGGTACTCAATAAATGTTTAATGCCGGGCACGGTGGCTTACCCTGTAATCCCAACACTTTGGGAGGCTGAGGCGGGCAGATCACCTGCCTGAGGTCAGGAGTTAGAGACCAGCCTGGCCAACATAGTGAAATCCCGTCTCTATTAAAAATACAAGAATTAGCCGGGTACGGTGGCAGGTGACTGTAATCCCAGCTGCACAGGAGGCTGAAGCAGGAGAATCGCTTGAACCCAGGAGGCAGAGGTTGCAGTGAGCGAAGATAGCGCCTGAAAGACTCCATCTCAAAAAATAAATCAATAAATAAATGATGAATGAATGAATCAATGTTGCTAAGGACAATCCTATCTATCATTTACACACACACTCATACACACTCCTTGCCTGCTGCTTAAACCCTCTAATGTCTTCATTTTTATTTTTTATTTAATTTTCTTTTGACATGGAGTCTCGCTCTGTCACCAAGGCTGGAGTGCAATAGTGCAATCTCGGCTCACTGCAACCTCCACCTCCCATGTTCAAGCGATTCTCCCACCTCAGCCTCCCAAGTAGCTGGGGTTACAGGCGCCCACCATCACAGCCCGGCTAATTTTTGCATTTTCAGTAGAGATAGGGTTTCGCCACATTGGCCAGGCTGATCTCAAACTCCTGACCTTCAGTGATCCGCCCACCTCAGCCTCCCAAAGTGCTGGGATTACAGGCGTGAGCCACCGCACCTGGCCTAAACTCTCTAATGTCTTCAAATTGCCCTCATGATCCAAACTCTTTACCAGGGCCTATATGGCGCCACATGACTTGATCCCTGCCTCCTTCCCTGATCTCATGTGTGTAATACTCCAATATACCAAACTCACTTCTGCTTCAGGGCCTTTAACATTCACTCTTCCATCTACTGGGAATGCTCCTCTGATCTTCACAGTTTTCAGTGAAATGGGATCTCTTCAAAGAGGCCTTTGCTGACAAGCCTATCTAAAAGAACTAGCCCATCTTCCTCCTGCTACCCTATCCCAGTTACCTTGTATTCTCATACTGTGTTCTGATGTTTCCATAGCAAATAGCACTTACCACTCTCTGACTAGAGTACATCATACATAGTAAATTAGGTACATGGTTTTTGGAAATTATTTCAATTACATGTATGTATAAGATTTTATGAATAGATTGTGATATAAAAGTTATTTCTCCTGATGGATCAGTTAACATTTTAAGAGACAGGATCTGGCTATGTTGCCCAAGCTGGCCTCAAATGCTTGTGCTCAAGTGATCCTCTGGTCTCAGCATCCCAAGTAGCTGGGACAACAGGTGCGAGGCACCGTGCCCAGCACCAGCAAAAAATTGTTGAAAGCTTCTGCTGTCTGCTGACAAGCCTACCAGATAACACCAAATGATGGCAGCTCCTTCTTTATCATCCCACTGTTCTACCACTATAATTGGGACCAGTAGGCAATTAAGGTCTTTCAAACAATAAGATTTAAAAGAAACAAATTTAAAACTTGTCACATTAAAAAGTCTGTTTCTACTTAACATCGTATTGGCATTAAAGTACTTATCCTTCCACACAAAGTGGTTTATCATCTGCGTTTCAAATTTGGAATAAAAAAGAAATAAAGAGAATACCTTTTTAGTCCATCTTTTTACTCCATTATATCCTTTGGTTACCAGCTGTCTATGAAAAAAGCTGTTGAAGAAGTGAACCTAGAACAGACAACAAACACAAGCAACCAGATTATATTAGGCTGTGCCCAGATTTAACTTCAAAAGAGGAAATTTTAAAATGTTTGAATGTAAAGCAGACAAAAAGGAAGGAAAAATTTCTTCATAAAAACAATGATTGAGGAGGCAAGTGGATCATCTGGGGTCAGGAGTTCGAGGCCAGCCTGGCCAACATGGTGAGACACTGTCTCTCCTAAAAATACAAAAATTAGCCGGGCGTGGTGGCACCCATCTGCAATCCCAGCTACTCAGGAGGCTGAGGTAGGAGAATCTCTTGAACCTGGGAGGCAGAGGTTGTAGTGAGCTGAGATCACATCACTGCACTCCAGCATGGGCACCAGAGCAAAACTCCGTCTCAAAAAATAATAATAATGATAATAATGATCAAAATATAGAAAATACATTACATGGTTTACAGAAAATGCTGTTCCAAAGTTTTATTGGAATGACCTTACAGCTGTGGTCTATAGTCAGCTTTGGAATGGGGCAGTAAATAGACTACCTGAATCCAATCAAGTAGAGAAGCAACCTGACAAATCTCTCTAAATCAGGTGAAAAAGCTGAAAGAGGCTATGAAAAAATGAGGTAACAATTACCTTGAACTCAAGGGAGATGGATTACAAAACTAACTCCATGTGAAGGATGTGGATTTAGAGACTCCTGTTGTTACAGTAACCATAAAAAGGCCTTGGCATGATTATTTCTAGTACCACAGAATTACCCTGGCTGTACAGAGTATCAGGTCCTGCGTCCTTGGCTTTGAATTTCTGACTTATAAGTAAGTGGTATATCAGCTCATCTTAGAGGGTAAACATATTGTGATCTTAAAGTGCTCATTCAGTAACTTGAGGTGATAAAACTGTTCCCTTAGCACTGTGGTTCTCAGAGTGTGGTCACCTGACCAGTAGTGTCAGCATCATCTAGGAACTTGTTAGAAATCCAAATTATCAGGCCTCATCCCAGACCTATTAAAGCAGAAACTCTGAAGGCAGGGCCCAGTAATCTGGTTTTATAAACCTTTCAGACGGTTCTGAGGCACATTCTTTTGATAACCATGCAGCTTAACATACAGACTGAAAGAGCTGCCAGACATAGTGGCTCACACTTCTAATCCCAGCAATTTTGAGAGGCAGAGGTGAGAGGATTACTTTAGCTAAGCCCAGAGCTCAAGCTAGCCTGGGCAACATAGCAAGACTCCTGGCTCTACCAAAAATAAAAATAAACTAGCTGGGTATAGTAGCACAGTGGCACATGCCTCTAGTCCCAGCTACCTGGGAGGCTAAGGCGAGAAGATTGCTTGAGCCCAGGAGTTCAAGGCTACAGTGAGCTATGACTGTGCCACTGCATTCCAGCCTGGAGTGTCTTTTTAGTGTCTCTAAAAAGAAGGTTATGTTTTATAATTTTAATAAAAACAAATAAATAAGAAAGAGCTTATAGTAGCTGTCTCTAGAGCAGTGATTCTCAAAATTGGTGTCCATCAGAATCATCTAGAGAGCTTGTCAAAACACAAATCGGTGGTCCCCCACCTCCAGTTTCTGATTCAGTAGGTGTGGGATGGAGTCTCAGAATGTGCATTTCTAGTAAGTTCTCAGGGGATACTGATGCTGCTAGTATGGGGACCATGCTTTGAGAACCACTGCCTTAGTTAAGTGTCCTTTTGACTCCATGAATGTTTAGAATTAAATGTACAATGGTGGTAAATGAAACCCTTGAAATTAATACTTTTATGTTAAAGATAATCTATATTGTTTAAACTTTCTGATGATTAAGAGAATTTGACAATAGAGCATCTAGCAGATTAGCCTCATGATTCCAATTTATAAATGTATAACAGATTTATAATTTAAGTGGAAAGTCATAAAACATTTTCTATATTCATAAACGGTATCAGAATCTGACTTTTTAGTATTTATGTTACTTTATTAGATTGGTAAGTTTTATACAGCACTTGGAAATTTTTGCACCCATCAGGCATTTGTGTACTCAGAAAAATACATTAAGTAAAAAAATAGTTTTGATATGTAACAAAACTCTTAAGAGAATTTAGAGTTTATGAGGGTTCAATCTGTATTTGAACTGAGTATCAAAGATTTATCTAAGGAAAAATGAAAGATGAGTTTTTTTTTACATTTTTAAAGAGAGCAAGATTTTAAGTTAAATGTAAAAAGCTGGCCTGGCATGGTGGCTCACATCTTTAATCCCAGCACTTTGGGAGGGGGAGGTGGGCGGATCACCAGAGGTCAGGAGTTCGAGACCAGCCTGCCCAACATGGTAAGACCTGTCTCTCCTAAAAATACAAAAATTAGCCAGGCATGGTGGCACACACCTGTAATCCCAGCTACTTGGGAGGCTAAGGCAGGAGAATTGCTTGAACCCAGGAGGTGGAGGTTGCAGTGAGCCAAGACCACGCCACTACACTCCAGTCTGGATGACAGAGCAAGACTCGGTCTCAAAAAAAAAAAAAAGTAAAATAAATACATAAATGTAAAAAGCTTAGCCAGTCCCTTTTGCACATCTCCCCACCAAAAAAAGGCCCTCTCCAGATATCAACAAACATACCTACCCTAACACAAATAAATAGGAAAACAATTGCACAGTGATTTTCTTATGCTGAAGTGATTTGATGGGGCCAGGCGCTGTGGCTCACACCTGTAATCCCAGCACTTTGGGAGACCAAGGCAGAGGTGGATCACCTGAGGTCAGGAGTTCGAGACCAGCCTGACCAATATGATGAAACCCTGTCTCTACTAAAAATACAAAAATTAGCCAGGCATGGTGGCACATGCCTATAATCCCAGCTAGTCGGGAGGCTGAGACAGGAGAATCGCTTGAACCCGGGAGGTGGAGGTTGCAATGAGCCGAGATCACGCCACTGCACTCCAGCCTGGGCAACAAGAGCAAAACTCCATCTCAAAAAGAACAAAAAGAAGTGATTTGATGGAACTTACGATCAAGCCCAGTACATGATCAAGAAAAAATTGAACTCTTCTTTTAAAAAATTTAAGGAATGTCAGATAATTACATCAAATGTAAAAACAAAAAAACTACTCATTTTAATACACAAGAACACTCTCTCCTGCAGAAGAGGAAGTTTTCACTTACTTTGTCTGGGACTGCATCCATTATCAGCTCACCATACATATTAATGACCTATAAAAAGTCAACATAAAACCAGCTTACTATCTCTGCCAGTTAAGTTGGAGAAAGAAAAACAAAATAAATAAATAAAACCAGGCTACTAACCCTATACAATTCAGTACATCCCAATCAGAATAAATAATATATTATTACTGCCAATAGTAATCAAACCGTTTGGATCCTGGGGCAAGTAACCAGTAAAGAATGAAGAATCCTTATTCCAAAAGACAACTGAGAAGCCAAACTAGAGATTATATTTTATTGACTAACATCCTCTGCAACTTCTCCACACTGAAAAACTACAATATACTAACCTGGTCATTCAGCCAGTTCTGACCATCCAGAGTCGCCAGGTCGTCCATATCCAGCATGTGTTTATTATAGAAGATACGGAAGTTACATTTTTGATGTCTGGCCCGATAGTTTGTTATTTCCCTATTGATAAATGGTTTTCTGAAAGAGAAAGATTTTGAAACAAAAGGTAAAAAAAACATGAGTACTTCTCAATTTACTGCTAAATATCTTTTCTTCTGTAAATCAAGAGAAAAGTCATATATGCCAAAAATTTTATTTTCAAGGGCTTAACTTTAGCATCATTTATATACCTATTAGAAAAGTCTTCATTAAAGACATCTTTTAATCTTCCAAGGACTTCTTTTTCACTGAGTGGAACCAAACTGCCATACTTCTTCATAACCTCATCTAGGAATCCTTAAATAAAGGAAGAAAGAAAAGTTAAGATGGAAAAACAAGCCATTTTCAGTAGAGTCATTCTCCAAACACTTAACCTATACACAGCACTTAACACATACAGTGGTTAACCTATATTACTATATAATATTGATACTATATTTTTAAAGTTATGTCTTTTGTAAAAAATAAAATATATTAGGCTCTAACCAATGCAATCTAGAGAGACATACTGTGAGGAATCATTTCACATTAGATTTTTAAGTTACTGAAGCATTGTTAGAGAAGGAATGGATAGCTAGAAGGAAATACTAACAGCTTCCCACAGCTTAACCTTCTCTTAAAGCGTGACTTCTAAAGGGCTTAATCACATAGTCAAATGTGCCTATCCTTTTGGTAACTGAAAGAATTATTATTTTAAAATCACAATTAGCATTAACTGATGAGATCACTGTGACTCTATTATTTGGTAAAGGTATGTACTTTAGTATCAGCAAGGGACAATATCATACATCTTGATAAGTTATTATACTCATGACACCAAATAACGCTGTGAGGTGAGCTCAACTGGATAACAGCTAGTGAGGCACTTTTTTTTTTTTTTTTTTGAGATGGCGTCTCGCTCTGTTGCCCAGGCTGGAGTGCAGTGGCACGATCTCTGCTCACTACAAGCTCCACCTCCCGGGTTCACGCCATTCTCCTGCCTCATCCTCCCAAATAGCTGTGACTACAGGCGCCTGCCACCACGCCCGGCTAATTTTTTTGTATTTTTAGTAGAGACGAATGGAATCATCATCAAATGGAATCTAATGGAATCATTGAACGGAATTGAATGGAATCGTCATCGAATGAATTGAATGCAATCATCGAATGGTCTCGAATGGAATCATCTTCCAATGGAATGGAATGGAATCATCGCATAGAATCGAATGGAACTATCATCGAGGGGTTTCACCGTGTTAGCCAGGGTGGTCTTGATCTCCTGACCTTGTGATCCGCCCGCCTCGGCCTCAGAAAGTGCTGGGATTACAGGCGTGAGCCACCACACCCAGCTAGTGAAGCACATTTTAAGACAGTAAATAGAATTTTTTGGAGATGGGGTCTCTTTCTATCATCCCAGCTGGGGCATAGTAACACAATCATAGCTCACTACAGCCTCAAACTCCTGGGCTCAAGCCATCCTCCTGCTTGGATAGTTAGCTGGGACTATAGGCAAGTGAAACCACACCCAGCTAATTTTTTAATTTTTTTTTTTTAAGATGAGGGTCTTGCTATGTTGCTCAGGCTGGTCTTGAACTTCTGGCCTCAAGTGATCCTTTCGCTCCAGCCTCCCAAGATGAGAAATAAAATTTAAAGGTGGCTTTTTGGCCACACCATAGGACAGTCTTCAGGTAAATGTAAGTAACATGTATATGTGCTTATATATATCCCTGAATGATCCACTGAACCTAGAAAAGCCCCAGGAAATAAACCCAGGACGTTCTTTCTTTTCTTTTTTCTTTTTTTTTAAGACAAAGCCTTGCTCTTTTCACCCAGGCTGGAGTGCAATGGTGCGATTTCGGCTCACTGCAACCCACCCCTCCTGGGTTCAAGTGATTCTCCTACCTCAGCCTCGTGAGTAGCTGGGATTACAGGCGCCCGCCACCACGCCCAGCTAATTTTTGTATTTTTTTTTTTTGTAGAGACGGGGTTTCACCATGTTGGCCAGGCTGGTCTCGAACTCCTGACCTCAGGTGATCCACCTGCCTTGTCTTCCCAAAGTACTGAGATTACAGGTGTGAGCCACCGCGCCTGGCCACCCAGGACATTATTTCTAAGTAAATACAAAAAAGCTGAGGCAAGGCTTAGACGCTCACAGAAGTACAGACATGACTTAGGTTGTTCACCAATGCTGAATGGGCAGAGCAACAAATTAGCTAACCATCAGTCTGACGGTTAAGTCTGCTGAGTTAAGACAGGAAAAATGAGGATTGTTAGCCACATATCTTAACCAGCTCCCTTTGTAACTCCAAGAATGGCCTCTGCCATGCATTGATATAAACAGGATAGAAAAGATGATAAGAGTGTCTTGGGAATGAAGTGTTTTGTCTTTTATGAGGGGAGAGACAGACAAAGAAGTGAACAATTTATTTTTCCTCCTGTTAATCTCCCACCAGAGTACCTCTCAATTTTCAAGGCTTAACATAGGAGCAAAGGTCAGGGTACAGTAAACAGAAAAGAGGTCCTTTCTCACGTCCATTCTGCTCTAGGCTTTGGGCAAATACAGTAGACAGGAAGATAGTCCCATGCTCCAACTTCATCAGGGTATCAGATAAAGATTTGGGGCTTCTAATCTAGGAACAGACCATATACTTGCCTCTAGTGTTTACTATTTCACATCTTACAGTTACCTAATCATAACCTTGTGTCTACATGGGGGAATGGGCCCAGTGGAAGATAAGGAATCCCACCATTTGAGAAACTGCATTGAGAATTATTTTTCGTTGTAAAATAATACCCCTAACAACAATAAAAATTAAACTTTAGGCCCCACAACTTTGATTGAGGCTCCTCAAATAAGAAGGCAGTGTCCCCCACAATGGGATATGGATGTGAATTTCAAACTAGTATCATGGTGCTCTTGTTAACAATGTTATTTCTGGTGGTAGAATGATGGAGATTCTAAATTATTACACATTTTCCTCTTATCTGTATCTTTATTTTCATTTTCAGATGATAAACATGGATTTCTTATTCGGTAGAAATGCCCTTCAAGGTACGATCTTCAAGGAGAACCCTAGATGACAGTGTCTCACTTACACACACCATTATCTCACTGGGACCAGAAGTAAAACAACAGTTAAAAAATACTCATAAGACAAGCACTAGCCTGTCTCATTTAGTTCTTATAGCCTCCCTGGGTGTTAAGATAGTATCCCTACTTTACAAATAGAGACACTGGGCCAGGTGCGGTGGCTCATGCCTGTAATCCCAGCACTTTGGAAGGCGGGTGGATCACCTGAGGTCAAGAATTCAAGACCAGCCTGGCCAACATGGTGAAACCCTGTCTATGCTAAAACTACAAAAATTAGCCGGGCATGTTAGCGTGCCTGTAATCTCAGCTACTTGGGAGACTGAGGCAGGAAAATCGCTTGAACCTGGGAGGCAGAGGCTGTAGTGAGCCGAGATTATGCCACTGCACTCCAGTCTGGGCAACAGAGCGAGACCTCATCTCAATCAATCAATCAATCAACCAGTCAATCAAATGGAGACATTAGAAGCTTTGAGAGGTTGTTACCTCCCCAAGGGCACTTAACTAGCATATGGTAGAACTAAGATCCTGATTGTAGGTACCGTGACTACAGAAACTGGGCTGTTAACTATCATGTCATGCCACTTACAAAGCAAGAAATATCTGTTATCTTTTCTCTACAAAAACAACTTGGTTCTTCACCTTTCCTTTTTAATATCTGTGGGCCAAGAACTATCCAGAAACAGATTTTATAAAATGACAGTTAAATCCACCATTCTTTATCCACTTGCTTTCATTAAACTAATCAATTAAAAAAGGAAAAATGCACTTGGTATATACAATTTATTTTACTCAGAAACAGATTTTATAAAATGACAGTTAAATCCACCATTCTTTACCCACTTGCTTTCACTAAACTGATCAACTAAAAAAGGAAAAATGCAATTGGTATACACAATTTATTTTACTCCCAAAGTACTAAAATTTCAAAGTGACCCAAGAAACAAAGGATAAAATGTTAGGAATAAACAACAAACAAAAACTGGAGTTCAAATTACAGAGCACTCTGCAAGTACAAAAGGTAGTAATATAAAAAACAAAACCTGAGGTGTCATTTTAGAATTTAAAGTACCCGGCCAGGCACGGTGGCTCATGCCTGTAATCCTAACACTTTGGGAGGCTGAGACAGAAGGATTGCTTAAGCTCAGAAGTTCAAGACCAGTCTGGGCAACAAAGTGAGACCGCTTCTCTACAAAAAATACAAAAATTAGCCAAGCATGTTGGCACATGCCTGTAGTCCCAGCTACTCGGGAGGGTGAGGTGGGAGGATGGGTTGAGCCTGGGAGGCAAAGACTGCAGTGAGCCAAGATCCCACCACGGCACTCCAACTTGGGCAACAGAACGAGACCCTGCCTCAAAAATAACTGAAAAAATAAAAAAGAACTTTTTAAAAAAAAGAAGTTAAAGTAAGGCCGGGCGCGGTGGCTTACGCCTGTAATCCCAGCACTTTGGGAAGCCGAAGCGGGTGGATCACGAGGTCAGGAGATCGAGACCATCCTGGCTAACATGGTGGAACCCTGTCTCTACTAAAAAATACAAAAAATTAGCCGGGCATGGTGGCGGGCGCCTGTAGTCCCAGCTACTCGGGAGGCAGGAGAATGGCGTGAACATGGGAGGCGGAGCTTGCAGCGAGCTGAGATTATGCCACTGCACTCCAGCCTGGGTGACAGAGTAAGACTCCGTCTCAAAAAAAAAAAAAAAAAAAGAAGTTAAAAGTAGCCATCATGTTAAACTAACGGCACTGGACAGTTTTCGTTTGATGCAACTGACCTGGGTCACATTCCACCCTGGATGTGGAATGAGGTTCCCCGTGCTGTGCACGTAAGAAATGCAAGCACATGGTTCTCCAACAAAACACAGTGCATACCTCAGAACGGGCCCATCAGCAGTAAGGAAGGTATACAGTATCTAAGAACAAACATAAGCAATGCGCAAAACCTAAGTGAAAAGATGCGAAATATGACTAAGGGACAGGAAGTCTTTTGCAATGAAAGCAACTGTCCCTAAATTAATCTATAAATATAATGCAACAACAAGTAAAAACCATACTTTTTTAAAAGATTACAAAATAAATCCAAAATTTACCTTGGGACAAAAATGTGAGAAATTCCTAGAAATTTTTGAAAAGAATTAAAGGAGAGAGGTGAATAAGGAGCGCCAGGTCCTGTCAAATGATAAAACTACGCTAATTAAGGCAAATAGAGCCAGCATGGAATAGAGATCAAATCCAAAGAGACTCTGTGGTAGGTTGCATTTCTGAACCACAGGGAAAAGAGCAAATCACTCAATAAACAGTATTAGAACTACCAACTAATTTCATTGGTTCCCAGACCCATGGGAATAAATTTAAAAAAAAAAAAAGAACTCGCAACTAAATATTTTATTAACAGCTGGAATTCATTTTGGTGTAAAGAATGAGGTAAGGATCTACCTTAACTTTTTTCCAAAGCACTAAATTAAAAATAACACATTAGGCCGGGGGCAGTAGCTCACATTTGTAATCCCAGCACTTTGGGAGGATAAGGCGGGCGGATCACCTGAGTTTGGGAGTTTGAGACAAGCCTGACCAACATGGAGAAACCCTGTCTCTACTAAAAATACAAAATTAGCCGGGCGTGGTGGCGGGCACCTGTCATCCCAACTAATCGGGAGGCTGAGGCAGGAAAATTGCTTGAACCCAGGAAGTGGAGGCCACCGTGAGCCGAGATCACGCCACTGCACTCCAGCCTGGGCAACAAGATCAAAACTCTGTCTCCAGAAAAAAAAAAAAAAAAAAAAACCACATTAATATCTAGAAAAAAAGAGTTGGACATTTTTATAAACATTTACTTTATATGTGGAAACAACCTTTTAAGTAGTTATTTTTTCTCATACACGACCATAAATATTTTTAAATAAATGGCAGTGAGCCCATAATTCCTTCTGGACTTTCAAGCCCTTTGAACATGTATTTCTTAAACACACTAAATTTTTTTTTTTTTTTTTTGAGACAGAGTCTCACTCTGTCACCCAGGCTGGAGTGCAGTGGTGCGATCTCAACTCACTGCAACCTCCAACTCACAAGTACAAGCAATTCTCCTGTCTCAGCCTCCCAAGTAGCTGGGACTACAGGCGCATGCCACCATGCCTGGCTAATTTTTGTATTTTTAGTAGAGACGGAGTTTCACCATATTGGTCAGGCTAGTCTTGAACTCCTGACCTCAGGTGATCCACCCACCTCGGCCTCCCAAAGTGCTGGGATTACAGGCATGAGCCACCGCGCCCGGCCTAAACTTACTCTTCTTGAAGCTGCTTTTTTCCATTCACTATATCATGGACAGTTCTCTTTTGCCTGAAAAAATGCATACTGTATTGTAACCAATTCCCTACTGATGGCCATTTATTTTTACCTCTAAATAATGTAACAATTAAAACTCTTGATCTATCCTAGTTCTACTGTTTCCCTTGGACACACCTACTACAAGTTAAATTTCTGGGTAAAAGGGCATGCATATCTAAATTTTTAAATTTTCATCTAACTTTTGCTATACACACACACATGCACACAAGATTTAAATGTCTGTAGAGTCAATTTGGTATATTTTCATTGCTTCTGAGCTTCCTATTATGGGCAAAAATGTCTTATCAATATAAGATTATAAAAATGGTCTCCTGCTCAAACAACGAATAGCAAGAACATAACCCAATTTAAAAAGCAGGCAAAGGACTTGAATGTGGAGAAAGGGGAACCCTGTACACTGTTGGTGGGAATGTGAATTAGCACAGCCATGAAGGAAAACAGTATACAGGTTCCTCAAAAAATTAAAAATAGAACTACCATATGATCCAGCAATTCCATTTCTGAGTGTATTTCAAAGACAATAAAATCAGTGTGTTGAAGAGGTACCTGCACCCCATACTCACTGCGGCACTATCCACAATAGCCAAGACATGGCATCAACCTCAATGCCCATGAGTGGATGAATGGAGAAAGAAAATGTAGTATATATACACAATGGAATACAATTCAGCCTTAAAACATCCTGTCATCTGCAACATGGATGAATCTGGAGCATAATATGTGAAATATGCCAGACACAAAAAAATATACTGCATGATCTCACTTACATGTGGAATCTAAAGTCAAACTCATAGACGTAGAGAATCAACGGTAGTTACCAGGGGCTGGGGGTGGGGCAGAGAATTGGAAGATGTTGGTCAAGGGTCATAAAGCTTCCGTTAGACAGGAGGAAGTGGTCCTAGAGATCTATTGTACAGTCTGGTGACTATAGTTAATAATAATGTACTGTGTCTTGAAAATAGATGAGAATTGATTTTAAATGTTCTCACGACGAAGTGAGTGATGGATATGCTGATTATCTTGATTTACTTCACAAAGTAAACATATATCAAAACATCACATTGTACCCCATAAATATATAGAATTTTGTCAATTAAAAATAATCTTTAGGTCAGGCACAGTGGCTCATGCCTGTAATCCCAGCACTTTGGGAGGCTAAGCCGGGCGGATCACTTGAGGTGAGGAGTTCAAGACCAGCCTGGCCAACATGGTGAAACCCCATCTCTACTAAAAATACAAAAAATTAGCCAGGCATATAGTGGCGCACCTCTGTGGTCCTGGCTACTCCAGAGGCTGAGGCACGAGAATCGCTTGAACCCGGGAGGCGGAGTTTGCAGTGAGCTGAGATCACGCCTCTGCACTCTAGCCTGGGAGACAGAGGGAGACTCTGTCACAAACAAAGAAACCAAAAACTTAAAAAGAATGATTTCCTGTATTTTTTTTTTCTTTTTTTAAGAGTCAAGGTCGGCCGGGCGCGGTGACTCACGCCTGTAATCCCAGCACTTTGGGAGGCTGAGGCAGGTGGATCATGAGGTCAGGAGATTGAGACCATCCTGGCTAACACAGTGAAACCCCGTCTCTACTAAAAATACAAAAAATTAGCCGGGCGTGGTGGCACATGCCTATAGTCCCAGCTACTCCGGAGGCTGAGGCAGGAGAATCGCTTGAACCCAGAAGGCAGAGGTTGCAGTAAGCAAAGATCACGCCACTGCACTCCAGCCTGGGAGAAAGAGTGAGACTCCGTCTCAAAAAAAAGAGAGAGACAAGGTCTTGCTGTCACCCAGCGTGGAATGCAGTCGAGCTACCATAGCTCACTTCAACCTCAAACTCCTGGCTTCAAGCAGTCCTCCCACCTCATCCATCTGAGGAGCTGGGACTACAGGCATGCACCACCACATGCAGATAATTTTATTTTTTGTAGCAATAGAGTCTCGCTAAATCTATATACATCCCTCTATGTATTTATATCGCTATGTTGCCCAGGCTGGTCTCAAACTCCTGCCCTCAAGCGATCCTTCTGCCTCAGCCTCCTAAAGTGCTGGGATTACAGATGTGAGCCACCATGGCCGGCCTATATTTGTTTCTTTTTAACAGCTTTATTGAGATGTGATTCACACACCACAAAATTTGCCCCATTAAAGAACACAATTCACTGTTTTTTAATATATTCAGATTGTGTAACTATCACTACTACCTAATTCCAGAACACCTCCATTACCCCACAAAGAAACTCTATACCCATTAACAGTCACCTCTCATTCCCCTTCTTCCCAGCTCCTGGCAACTATTAATCTACTTTATATCTCTATGTATTTGCCTATTCTGGACATTTCAAATGAACGAAATCATATGTTATAAGGCCTTTTGTGTCTGGCTTTTCACTTAGCATGCTTCCAAGGTGCATCCACATTTAAGTATATATCGGTGTTTATTCCTTTTATAGAATAATATTCCATTGTATAGATATACCAAATTTTATTTATCCATTCATCAGGTGTTGAACATTTAGGTTGTTTTCACTTTCTGGATATTATGAACAATGCTGTTACAAGCATTCGTGTACACATTTCTGTGTATTTGGTTTTAATTAGCCAAACTTTTAATCCATCTGGAATGTTTTGCGGCACAGGAATCTATCCCTTTTCCCTCCAAAAGAAGTAACCATCCAAGTTATTTCTCTTGGATGTGCTATAATTTTACTACACTAAATTTAGTGTGAGTTTGTGTATGTATTTGTGTGTTTTAATCCTGATTGGCACTTGCAAAGCCTTTCAACTTTAGACTCAGACCTTTCTTTTCAGTTCTAGAAAACATTCCTAATTTCTTCAGTTTCCCTTCCATTATCTCCTGGCATACTCATGACATAGAGGTTAGAACTTTAAAGCGAAGCAAGAACTTAAAGAACTTGCAAAGTAATCTCAGTGCAGAGTCCTAGACTTTCACGCACGCCCTCAAATCTTTTGCAGCTGTCCTGCATGAGCGCATCAGCATTCATTTTTTTGCAGCAACCCGCTACTGTCATTGCAAAGTATTCACCTTGTTTTTCAAAGGAGGAGCTTTCTTCTTACACTCATATTTCATCATTTTATGTAATACTGAATAAAATTATGAAACTGCAACAAGTAAATCTCCCCTAAGTATAACTGACTCTTAAACATGTAAATCAACTGAAAGGAGCATAATGTGCAGTCATATTAGAGACAAGCCAGCATTCAGCACCCCACAGAACTCAATAGTGGCTAATGTTGTAGAAGTCCCTTAAAGGATTATCTATTGTACTCATTGCCCCATTAATCAATACTGAGGTTTAGTTCTGTTATTTGCTGAATTTGTCTATTTCATTGTGTTGGCTTTTCTCAGAGGATGGTGATAGACTGTTAGTTCATCTCTACTTAGGTAACTTGCTGAGAATTGAGGGCAAAGGGCTATAATGGGCAGTAGCTGCTGCTCTGCCTTGAACTATTTTCAGTGGGAATAAGGACACTAAGAACCCCAGCAGCTGTTCTGAAAATGGATGTTCCTCACTCTTGCCAAGTGTTACAAGGTGTACGTGTGTGGGTGAGTATCCTGTCTCTTGTCCTTAGAATTTTGGCTTGATAACAGATTTGTTCTTTGCTGACATGTGGCACAGGCAGGGAGAGATTCCCCAACTACTCAGTCCTTACCATGGGTGTCCCCTTTCCTCTCCACTTCCACCATCTCCAGAAATATGAGCACTCAGTATCACACCACTTCCCTGTACTAATCTTCCTTCTGCCCGCCTGGACCTTCCCTCTACTTTTTGCCCAGTGGGAGCTGATTCTCAGTTTCTGATCTACCAAAACTGTCTCCTCATTTGTGAGTATGAAGACACATGTGTTTTTAATATTTTTTCATAATTTCTATGGATTTGGTAGGAGGAAGAAGAGAGTCCATGAGCTTACTTCATTCTCTTAAACCTGAAACTGCTATTGGCTTCTGATTGATATTCTTTAGTAATTCAAGGAAGCTTCCTTTATTACTAGTTTTCTAAGAGATTTAAACCCAAAAGGAAACAATTTTACTAACAGGTTTTTCAGCACTTGCTGAGATACCATTTTTTTCCCCTTTGGCCTATTAAAATAGTGAATTATATTGTCACTACACATGAATTCTGTAAGAATTCCTACTTCCTCAGGTCATGCTACAGGTTTTACTACGTGCATATTCAATTTATCAACCGTACTTGAAAGTGTTACATCTATAAAGGTTAACTGGCATTTGTGGGTAAATGCTAATTCTTTTCAGGTGTAAGTATCATGGGTCTGCTAACCTCAGTAGGGAAATCTGGCTTTACTCTAGGACAGTATAGACAAGAGGTTTTTTGGTGTTGTTTTTTTTTTTAATTTGCTAGGACTCTGTACTTTGTGTCTTTCTATGAGGAAGAATTTATTTACTAATTTATTTATTTTTATTTTTTTTGAGACAGAGTCTTGCTCTGTCGCCCAGGCTGGAGTGCAGTGGCACGATCTCAGCTCAATGCAAGCTCCGCCTCCCCCGTTCACACCATTCTCCTGTCTTGGCCTCCCAAGTAGTGGGGACTACAGGCGCCTGCCACCACGCCCGGCTAATTTTTTAAATTTTTAGTAGGGACGGGGTTTCACCATGTTAGCCAGGATGGTCTCGATCTCCTGACCTCATGATCCGCCCGCCTCGGCCTCCCAAAGTGCTGGGATAACAGGCATGAGCCACCGTGCCCAGCCAGAAGAATTTATTATACTTAATGGTTGGAAAGAGAAAGTGCTCAGAACTGTTTCAACTACCAAGAAATAAACCTCCTAACTAGCTCCCCAAAGCCAATGGTAATAATATCTGTCCAGATGTCCTATACAAATGCATATGCACACATATATACTCACACTCATCCTACATATGTCATATATATCTTTTAACAAAATGGTTTCATACCATTTTGCAACTTACTGTTTTCACTTTTTTTCTTTCTTTTTTTTTTGTGAGAGAGTCTCGCTCTGTCGCCCAGGCTGGAGCACGGTGGCATAACCTAAGCTCACTGCAACCTCCGCCTCCCAGGTTCAAGCGATTCTCCCTGCCTCAGCCTCCTAAGTAGCTGGGATCACAGACACGCACCACAACACCTGGCTGATTTTTGTATTTTTAGTAGAGATGGGGTTTCACCATGTTGATCAGCCTCGTCTTGAACTCCTGACCTCAGGTGATCCGCCCACCTCGGCCTCCCAAAGTGTTGGGATTACAGGCGTGAGCCACAGCACCTGGCCTGTTTTCACTTTATATAGACATCTTTCAGTATCAAAATATAGATCTATATTCTTAAACAGCTGCTAGCAAACTATTGCCTGAATGGGCCATAATTTATACTATCATATTGTCTTCCAAAGAAATGTTTACACCAGTTTACCTTATGGGATAGATTTTTGACAAGAGAAGGCTTCTTAAAGCATGACGTAAAAACTAGAAGCCTCAAAGTCAAATATAGGTAAGCTTTAGGCCAGGCGCAGTGGCTCATGCCTGTAATCCTAGCACTTTAGGCAGACTGGCCGAGGCGGGCAGATTGCCTGAGCTCAGGAGTTCGAGACCAGCCTGGGCAACATGGTGAAACACTGTCTCTACTAAAATACAAAAAATTAGCCGGGCATGGTAGCGTGTGCCTGTAGTCTCAGCTACTTGGGAGGCTGAGGCAGGAGAACTGCTTGAACCGGGAAGCAGAGGTTGCAGTGAGCCGAGATTGCGTCACTGCACTCCAGCCTGGGTGACAGAGCAAGACTCCATCTCCAAAAAATAAAAAATAAAAAAAGACAGATAAGTTTTACTATGTAAGAACTGAAAACTCCTATTAAGCAAAAATATCAAACAATTTTGGGGTACTGAAGGCTTTTACCTTTCGTGAGGGACCATTCTTATGACATTTATAATCAGCAATTAAACATTTTTATGACTAGAATGACACCAAGTTCCCTGAAGGTCATATATTCTGTTCATTGCTACATTCTTAGGAACCAGCACAGTGCCTGGTACATTGAGCGTCTCCTATATTAAAAAAAAAAAAACAGAAACAATCCAGTTGAAAAATAGGCAAAGGGGCAGGGCACGGTGTCTCACGCCTGTAATCCCAGCATTTTGGGAGGCCAAGGTGGGTGGATCACGTGAGGTCAGGAGGTCGAGACCAGCCTGGCCAACATGGTGAAACCCCATCTCTACTAAAAATACAAAAATTAGCCAGGCATGGTGGCGGGTGCCTGTAATCCCAACTACTCGGGGGGTTGAGACAGGAGAATCACTTGAACCCAGGAGGTGGAGGTTGTGGTGAGCCAAGATCTCACCATTGCACTCCAGCCTGGCGACAGAGTAAGACTCCATCTCAAAAAAAAGAAAAATAGGCAAAGGAAAACCATGCACATACAAAAAAGTGGCCAATAAACACAGAAACAGATGTTCAAACTTAAAACTCAAAAATGCAAATTAAAACAAAACTCTGTGATCTGTAAGACTGCCAAAGCTTAACAAATGTAAACTGGTTCAACTTTTTGGAGGGTAACTTAATTATCTTAAAATTTTAAGTGTGAATATTCCTTCACCATCAATTCTAATAATGAGAATTTAGCTTACAGAAACAAATGTATAAATGTAAAGACATAATTTCATCGCACTATTAGCTTATGAAAAAAATGGAATCAATGCAAGTGTCTACAAGGATTAAATGATGGAACATCTACATAATGCAGCAATATAAAAGGCTTCAAGCAGACTAACTGGTTTAAAGAAATATTCATGAGTGGGAGAAAAAAATAGGACTCTTATTAGCAAGGATAATGCACAGCAAATGTGAGCTTGGAGTTTGAGGGAGAATAAAGGAAAAGTGCATACCAGAAAGACAGACTGACAGCTGTTCATCATCCACTGGAGAGGCTTTCTGACTGTTCTTTCCACCTCCTACTTGATTTTCTAGTTTGAGTCCACTGCACACCAAGGGAGCCTCCAGTGGACTTTTACAGTAAGGGTGGTCCAGCAACTCAGAACTAAGAATGCTCTGCTTGAGAGATCCATCCTCCTCCATCTGGTATGAGTTCTCATTTTGAACAGCCTTTTGGGACACAGGCCCATCTACGCTACTCACAGATGTATCTGCTCCAGACACTGACAGTTTTACTCTGTCATCACTGACAGAACTTGTCTGATTTTCCTGACCCAGAGTCATAATTTCTCTTTCAGTTTCTGAAATGAACATGGTATTAGAACGATGTTCTGGTAAGGGGATGTCATGAATCAGCTCTGTACACTCCCACTTAGGAGAAGAACAGGATGACTGGTCCCAGGCGTTTGTGGCACTGCCATTCTGTTGGTCAGGGAATGCTTCGTCTAAACTAAGCTCCTTGCCCAAGAAAGAGCTTCCTTTAGTGTGGCAATCAGGCACATGAGAGTTCGTCCCCTTCACCACAGCACTGCTGTCCATATCTGGAAAGTACGGCTGATGCCGACAAGAAGGGTCTTTAGGTTCTGGGGAAGGAAATGGGCTGCAACTGCCACCCTCACCGTTCTCCCTACGGGTCTCTTGATGGTCCCCAGTGACTTTCTGTACCCAGCTTCGCTGGGCTTTTCTTAGCTTGCAAACCTTGCTTTTGGTTCTGAAGTGCTGGGATCTGAGAATCCTGTACCGAAATCTAATCATGGATAATTTCTCATACATCATAAGAGGAGATAATTTTATCCTTCTATGTTGGTTAAGTTGGAACTTTTTTGGAATCAAGGGTCCCCCATTCCTGTGGTGCTCCGGCCCTTGGCAGCAGCCGTAACAAAAGCCCTTTCTCTTATGGTTGTTCAAGGTGACCACAATCGTGCCACTCTCACCTGGACTTTGGCTCTCCCCATTGAACTTCATGGGAAAGTCAGAAGGTTGTGGGTCTGTCCTAGGTCTGTGACCATTGGCCTGACCTAAAGCACTATTTGATGGAAAGTCAGTAACTGCCTTCAAGAGATTTTTCTCTCTGCAGTATTCATGGTCAGAATTCTTTGCTGATGACAACAGCTTCTCTGCTTGGAGTCTCAGGAGAGTCTTTGAGGAGGAAATGAAGTGTTTAGCGTCCTTTCTTTTCACTTTAGAGGACAAAGTACTAACATTTTGAGTAGCCACATTGAACTTGGTCTTAGCACAAAGGGGTTCATCCTTGATCCACGTTTTCTGGATTTGAAGAGCTTTCTTTCTACCCTGGAAATGTCTCAACTGTCTATTCCAAGTAACTGGCCTTCCCAGCTTAGCTTTCAGAATGCACAAGTGTTGGTGAAAATAAAACTTCTTAAAGCCTCCAAACCCAGTATTCCATTTCTCAGAAAAGGCTAAGTGGATTCCTTTCCTCCATAGAATTTTCCTCTGTTTTTTCATTTTTCTGATGCATAATGAGATCTGGATGCAGCTGTAAAGAAGAGAAGTAAGTTATATTTCTATCTAAAAATAAGGTCATGAAGACATATTCACAGTAACTAAGGCAGAAAATTGAGAAAAAAAAAGAGTACATATACTTCAATTTAGACTATTGGACACAATGAAATCTTATCTGACCAAGGTTTTCATCACAATGAAAACTGGAGAGGAGGGAGGACATGAGTAGTCTAACAAAAAGCCATTTGCTGTACACCTGCCTCTGAGAAAAATAAACTTAAGAATCATTTTCGACCAGGCGCAGTGGCTCACACCTGCAATCCCAGCACTCTGGGAAGCCAAGGTGCAAGGATTGCTTGTAATCCTCACACCTGACACCAGCTCCTGGTGAGGCTGAGGCAGGAGAATTGCTTGAACCTGGGAGGTGGAGGTTGCACTGAGCCAAAAATCGCGCCACTGCACTCCAGCCTGGGTGACAAGAGCGAAACTCCATCTCAAAAAAAAAAAAAACAAAAAAAAACTGATTTCTGTAACCTCAGTGTGATTTGGAGAGGGAACTGAGGTAAACATGTGTTCAGTCCTCCATTTTTTTCCCCAGAGAAAACTTATACACAGAAAGGTAATACAGCACTTCTGAGTAAACTGTTGTCAAGCTGAAATTAGAATATTGGCTTCTGTTTCATAGTCTTTCTTCCACTCTACCTGCAGTGACTGGTGCCTTTCTTTCTAGACTAAAGAGCCTTCGCTAATATTAGATTTTATTAAATCCTGAGGGGAAGTTATTGTTTGGATTTGACTGTCATTCATTTCCATCTACTTCTAGAGTGTGTTCCTGCAGTATATGTGTGTATGCTTGTGTTGGTTCTTTTTTCTTATATTCACTTGAGATCCAGAACCATCACTGGGTGAGAGCATTTGATAAAGTCCTGTCCTTGCATGGCTACCCAGAGTCTTTGACTGGTAACAGAGGAGCGTGGCTTCCCTCTTGAGATGCTGACCTCACATGTATTTACTAAATATCTACTGGTGCATGACTATACAGAACAAAAGTACCTGCTCTTTTAAAAATCTGCTGTATGAAACTAATTATTTTGCTATGAGCAAATTATAATTAAGTCAATATGGAATCAGTCTTAAGTGGTATTTGGTCTCCTCTCCCTTCCCCGTCCTTCATTTTACACATGAGAACACAGGGCCAGGTGTGGTGGCCCATGCCTGTAATCCCAGCACTTTGGGAAGCCGAAGCAGATGGATTACCTGAGGTCAGGAGTTCGAGACCAGACTGGCCAACATGGTGAAACCCCGTCTCTACTAAAAATACAAAAATAATTAGCCAGGCATGATGATGAGTGCCTGTAATCTCAGCTACTTGGGAGGCTGAGGCAGAAGAATTGCTTGAACCTGGGAGGTGGAGGTTGCAGTGAGCCAAGATTGCGCCACTGCACTCCAGCCTGGGAGACAAGAGTGAAGCTCTGTCTCCAAAAAAAAAAGCAGCAGCTATAGGACCTCAGAAAGCAGAAAGGCTCAGAAGCAGAGGCAACATATACCTATGAAAGTCAGGAGTATGGGTGGTGTTGAAAAGGAAACGCTGGCTCAAAGTCTGAATAAGAAGCAGTGAAACTCCTAGATACCATCTCCTACCGTGGCAGATGATGAAAGTTTCACTTTCTGAGGAGGATGACCCAGGATAGTCCAGTATATCATGTACAGCTGAGCACAGGGGTATACCAGGAGGATAAATGAGTTTACACCGTGAATTCCCCTCCAGGCCCTTCCCCACTCAGCTTCCATAAGACTGGCAAGAAGCTCTATACCCACAAGAAGGCGACTAGTCCCTGGGGGAAAACAGATCATTCACGGAGAAAAAACCAACAGATAGTGATATTTGGGGATGTCACAACAAAATAAGTCTGAACAATGACTCAATAGGGTGGCCTAAAGTTTAAGAAGCAGTTAGACTCCAGATCCCTACTTAACTCCACATGGCAGGTAAGTGACCCTCCCCCACCCAAGATTGGAAGTTTATCCTTTAGATAAAATAGTGAAATGTAAAATGCAAAAAAGAGTAAAATGGAAAGTCTGCAGACACAGGGACTCCAGGCATAATTTGAAGATGGAATTATATACTGCATATGAGACTCCGAACACACTTTGCCACTCATCTCCCAGAATGCTAGCAGTCTGTCTCACCCATACAAGCAGACTGAAGATTCTTTTCTGGAGACTATAACTAGTCCACCAAAAAAAAAAAAAAAATCCATAAAGATACAGATATTACCCCACAAAATGGCCCACAGTGTACCCCAAAGTTGACACATTCCACCATGTGTTAAGAGTTCCCAAGCAGTTTCTTAGTGGTCATTATTAAAAACAACTAGACGGGCTGGGCATGGTGGCTCACGCCTGTAATCCCAATACTTCGGGAGGCCAAGGTGGGCAGAGCACTTGAGGTCAGGAGTTCGAGACCAGCCTGGCCAACATGGCAAAACCCCATCTCTATTAAAAATACAAAAATTAGCTGGGCATGGTGGTGCATGCCTGTAATCCCAGCTACTTGGGAGGCTGAGGCACAGGAATTGCCTGAACCTGGGAGGCAGAGGTTGTGGTGAACTGAGATCGCACCACTGCAGTCTAGCCTGGGCGACAGAGCAAGACTCTGTCTCAAAAAAATAAAATAAAAAATAAAGGATGACCAAGAATCACCAGATGTCTAGGGATAAAAACAGACCAAAACAAACAGATAAAAGCAAAAACTATATAAAGTCAACTTTTATAAACCAACAGGGAGGGGGAGAAAAGGGAGTTATTGCTTAATGGGTACAGAATTTCAGTTTGGGAAGATAAAAAGGTTCCTGGAGATGAATGGTGGTGATGGTTGCACAGCAATGCGAATGTACTTTAATGCCAATGAACTGTACACCTAAAAATGGTCAAAATAGTAAATTTTATGTTATGTATATTTTACCACAATTAAAAAAAAAGAGGGGGCTGAGTGTGGTGGCTCACACCTATAATCCCAGCACTTTGGGAGGCCAAGACAGGCGGATCACTTGAGGTCAGGAGTTCGAGACCAACCTGGCCAACAAGGTAAAACCCCAACCCTACTAAAAATACAAAAAAATTAGCCAGGTGTGGTGGCACGTGCTTGTAATCCCAGCTACTCGGGAGGCTGAGACACGAGAATTGCTTGAACCTGGGAGTTCTGAAGGCTGCAGTGAGCCAAAATTGAGCCACTGCACTCCAGCCTGGGTGACAGACCAAGACTGTCTCAAAAAAAAAAAAAAAAAACTAATACTATCTCAAAGAAGCAAAAGCAAATATTACATCCATTGAAAAAAAAGAACAGGGTGTTATTCTTTTTCTAAAGGAATGGCCAAAAACAAGAAAGGGGTCTTGAAAATTAAAAATAATAGCAGAAATTAAAAACTCAATTAAGCTTGGAAGTTAAAAAAAATAATAAATGAACAAAATGAAAAGACAGCTGATAAATTAGAAAAAAATATTTGCAACATGTATCATAAAGGCCTAATATCCCTAATATATAGACCTCTTAAATTAAGAGATAACTGAAAAAAAGCCTAATGGAAAATAGGAAAAATACATAAGGAGACAATTTACAAATAAAGCTTTTTAAATGTTCCTTAAGCTTAAGAAAGATGTCCAAATTCATTTATAAGACAATTGGCAAAAATTATAACACATTCTCTTGGTGGGGAAGAAGGGCCTTTCCACACTTTGTTAGGAGGACTACAAATTGATCCAATCTTTTTGGAGGGTAATCTGGTAACATTTAATAACTACAAAAGTATTTACCTTTTAATCCAGCAACCCCACTTTAAGGAATTTACCTGAAGACATGCCTACAATAATACAAATATACACATGTACAAGGCTATTCATTGCAGCATTGTTTATAATAGCAAAATATTAAAAACAACCAGCAGGGAACTGTGGCTCAGCCTACAATCTCACACTTTGGGAGGCTGAGATGGGTGGACTGTTTGAGCCCAGGAGTTTGAGACCACTCTGGGCAACATGATGAAACCCCATCTCTACAAAGAAATATAAAAATTAGCCAAGTGTGGTGGCATGTGCCTGTGGTCCCAGCTACTCAGAAGGCTGAGGTGGGTGGATCAACTGAGCCCAGGAGTTTGTGGTTGCAGTGAGCTGAGATTGCACCATGGCACTCTAGCCTGGGCAACAGAGTGATGTCCTATCTCAAAAAAAAAATAAAAAAGGAAAAGGGCCAGGCGCGGTGGCTCATGCCTGTAATCCCAACACTTTGGGAGGCCGAGGTGGGCAGATCACCTGAGGTCGCGAGTTCGAGACCAGTCTGGCCAACACGGTGAAACCCTGTCTCTACTAAAAATACAAACATTAGCCGGGCACGGTGGCACATACCTGTAATCCAGCTACTCGGGAGACTGAGGCAGGAGAATTGCTTGAACCCAGGAGGCGCAGGTGACAGTGAGCCGAAATCACGCCATTGCACTCCAGCCTGGGGTACAAAAGCAAAACTCCGTCTCAAAAAAAAAAAAAAAAAAAAGAATAACTGGCTAATACTCTTCAATCACATCAGTCAAAGTCCTGAAAGACAAAGACAGACTGTCCTAGAATGAAAGACTGAGATTAAGGAGACGACAATTAAACAAGGTATAATCCTGGATTGAGTCTCAGTTCAGAAAAAGAAAAGTCATGTGACAACTGACAAAATTGGAATAAGGTGTGCAGATCAGTTAGCAGTATTCTCTCAACGTTAATTGCCTGGCCTTGACAATGTGCTGCAGTTCTATAACATTGGAGAGGCCAGGTACAGTGGTGCACACCTGTAGACCCACCTACGTGGGAGGCGGAGACAGAAGGATTGTTTGAGCCCAAGAGTTCAAGATCAGCCTGGGCAACATAGCAAGACTCTGTCTCCTTAAAAAAACTGAAGTAAGGTTGGGCACAGTGGCTCATGCCTGTGATCCCAGCACTTTGGGAGGCTGAGGTGGGTGGATCAACTAAGGTCAGGAGTTCAAGACCAGCCTGGCCAACATAGAGAAACCCTGTCTCTACCAAAAATACAAAAATTAGCCAGGCACGGTGGCATGAACCTGTAATCCCAGCTACTCGGGAGGCTGAGGCAGGAGAATCACTTGAACCCAGGAGGCAGAAGTTGCAGTGAGCCGAGATCACGCCACTGCACTCCAGCCTGGGCAACAGAGTGAGACCATGTCTTCAAACAAACAAAAAAAACTGAAACAAAACTTCGGAGCAAAGCTAGGTGAAGCATATAGAAAAACTGTAATATTTTGCAATTTTTTTCGGTAAATTTGAAGTTATTTCGAAGTTAAAAGTAAAACATTAAAACATTTAAAATTTTGAGCAATCTCCCAGAAAGTACCACAAAATGACAGACTGAAACTAACATAACAACTAACAAAAAAGGTTTACAGAGATGTAAGTTATCAAAATATTTACCTCCCATGCATCCTTCTCAGAGAGTCACAGGAGAAGGTACTCTGGCAAATATGGGAGTAAGTCAAGAATACACAGGATGCAGGAAATGAGATCCAAAAACAAGAGTCAGGCAAAAAGAATACTAAAGATAACAGTAAAAATAGATGCAGAATGACAATGTGCCTTAAGCCTGGAGGGCCACCAATCCAGAAGGGAGCGGTCAAAAGTCAGTCAAAAGGCTCCAAGAATGTGATCCTGATAGAATTTCTAAAGTGTATGAAAGCAAATAAAGGAGAAACAGACAACCAGAAGAGAGTTTGCAGTTAGTAGTAGGTACAGAGAACACTAAACAAAAGATAAAGACAATTAATTTCAGGGACAACAGAAAAATGTACAAGAAAGGGAAAACAGTGGTTGTAAACCTTGGTATACTACATGGCTTAACTATGACTACCATTTACATAATAGTAATAAGCTAAACACTGATCTAACCCAGTGCTTCTCAACCAGATACTC
Organism: Homo sapiens; assembly: GCF_000001405.40. Lineage (NCBI taxonomy): Eukaryota > Metazoa > Chordata > Mammalia > Primates > Hominidae > Homo > Homo sapiens. The sequence continues at coordinate 196,879,226 of NC_000003.12, read as the reverse complement.
CATACCACCTCAACCTAACATTTGGAAATGTGTGGGAAATTCTTGGTTGCTGTAATACATTCAGGTTGGTATTGACATTTACCGCTGGGGTCCAAGGATACTAAGTATCATGCAATAAACACAACAATGAAGAATTATCTCACCTGGAATGGTAATACTGCCCCTTATAGCATCCCTATAGTGGGAAGATACAGTGGTATCTTGGAGGGAAGATAAGAAGTATGCAAGTACACAGACGTGGGGAACAGATGTAAAAAAGAACAATCTTCATCTTCAAGTCAACAGATAAAGCATAAACTAAGTAATCACAAGTTACATTATAAAAAGGTAATTTAGGCCGGGCATGGTGGCTCATGCCTGTACTACCAGCACTTTGGGAGGCCGAGGCAAGCGGATCATTTGAGGTCAGGAGTTCGAGACCAGCCTGGCCAACGTGGTGAAACCTTGTCTCTACTAAAAATACAAAAATGAGCCAGACATGGTGGCGGGCACCTATAATCTCAGCTACTCGGGAGGCTGAGGCAGGAGAGTCACTTGAACCCGAGAGACGGAGATTGCAGTGAGCGGAGATCATGCCACCGTACTCTGGCCTGGGTGACAGGAAGACTCCATCTCATAAAATATAAAAATAAAAAGGTAATTTAAAGACATGTTGTTTATACCAAAACAATACCTCAAAGACTTGAAAGAGGCTGCTTTTGGTGAATGGGAAACAGCAGAAAGGGGCAAGATTCTGAGAACTATGTCAGGAAAAAAAGCTAGAGGTTTCTACCTTCAGCATATAGATTTCCACTATAAGGCACAGTACCTTATCCTTAACTATGCATGGTATCCCTCAGTCCAGATAATAATCGTTTTCTACTCCAGATAGTAAGTCTCTAGTTACCCTATTTATGTCTACGGGGAGAAGAAAGGGAGGTCAGGAGTGGAAACTTTTCTGAAACAGACTTTCAAACAACTCCTCATATTTTCTGTCCCACCTCCACCTCCACAGTACAGGACACAGCTAATCTTGAGACTTTTAAAGGGTTTGGTAACATAACATGACTATTTGAAGGCTCTCTCCACTGTTGGTTTAGGATACAGCTTTCTCAAGTTGGCGAATTAGTTGCCATTAGTCTTTTCTGCTTTCCAGCTTTCACGATATTGTTGTTATTCTCATTGTTCCTGTTCTTTGTTATCTAGAGGGTTTTTAAGTCCTCCATTGTTTTAATGAAATTTTCAGGCTGGCATAAAATTAAACGTATATATTCAATCCACCACCTTTACCATGATACACTGCTGAATGGAAAAAATGAAGTTGCTGACCAATATGTACCAGCCCACTTTTGTTAAAAGGAAAAATATATGCATATGCTTGAATGTTTGGAGAAAAATGTCTAAAAGCATATACACCAAACTATCAAAAGTTTAGGATCACAGTTCCCAAACTGTGCCCAAGGCAACCTGGGATTCTGTAGAGAACTCACGAGAGCACAACAGGAAATTCTAAATTACAGGGAAAAAGTAATCTTCTATACTTGTCAAACACCTTATAAACTACTAGTTCAAGACAGTTCAGCTTCAAAATAGATCACACTATGTTCCTTTTGATGATATCATAATCTTTGCAAAGCTGAGTATCTATTGGTTGCTGTGATTTAAAAAAAAATACTGTGCAAATATCAATTTAGAGCAAAAAATGAGTGGAGAAAACAAAGATGTAAACAAATGTTATTTATTTTTTAAAATAGCGAGATAGTGGCCGGGCACGGTGGCGCACACCTGTAAGCACAGCACTTTTGAAGGTCGAGCAGGGCAGATCACCTGAGGTCAGGAGTTCCAGACCAGCCTGGCCAACATGGTGAAACCCTGTCTCTTACTAAAAATACAAAACTTAGCCGTGTGTGGTGGTGGGCACCAGTAATGGCCAGCTTCTCAGGAGCCTGAGGCAGAAGAATCGCTTCAACCAGGGAGTGGAGGCTGCAGTGAGCCAAGATCATGCCACTGCACTCCAGCCTGGGTGACACAGTGAGACTCCATCTCTAAATAAATATTTAAAATTAAAAATTAAAAAAAATAAAATAAGGTAGTAAGATGGGGTCTCACTATGTTGCCCAGACTGGTCTTGAACTCCTGGCCTCAAACGATCTTCCCACCTCAACCTCCCAAAGTGCTGGGATTATAGGCATGAGCCTCCATGCCCAGCCAAAAGCAAATTTGTTTTAATTAAAAAGTAAGCAATGTGGGTGGCAGAGTCCAATATGATTCCACGGTTTGGGTTTTGTAGTGCCCAACAAGTATATACGGTAAATAACTGTGGTTATTTAAGAATGAAATCAAAATGTAATTTTGTCTTTCTCTTTCTTATTTTTTTGAGAGTGTCTCACTCTGTCACCCAGGCTGGAGTGCACTGGTGCAATCAGAGCTCGCCCCAACTTTCCAGGCTCCAGCAATCCTCCCTCAGCCTCCTGAGTAGCTGGGACTACAGCAGACACACACCACCACGCCTGGCAATTTTTTTTTTTTTTTTTGTAGAAATACGGTCTATGTTGCCCAGACTGGTCTTAAACTCCTGGACTCAAGTGATCCGCCCACCGAAAGAGCTGAGATTATAGACACGAGCCATCACATCTATCTGACTTTGTCTTCCAATTTGTGTATTTCTTAGATGTCAATTAGGT